>NC_000003.12:133554058-133705574 GCF_000001405.40 Homo sapiens
CATACTTGGAAGTAAAGCTCTACTCAGCAAATGTAAAAGAACAGAAATTATAACAAACTGTCTCTCAGACCACAGTGCAATCAAACTAGAACTCAGGATTAAGAAACTCAGTCAAAACCACTCAACTACATGGAAACTGAACAACCTGCTCCTGAATGACTACTGGGTACATAATGAAATGAAGACAGAAATAAAGATGTTCTTTGAAACCAATGAGAACAAAGACACAACATACCAGAATCTCTGGGACACATTCAAAGCAGTGTGTAGAAGGAAATTGATAGCACCAAATGCCCACAAGAGAAAGCAGGAAAGATCCAAAATTGACACCCTAACATCACAATTAAAACAACTAGAAAAGCAAGAGCAAACACATTCAAAAGCTAGCAGAAGGCAAGAAATAACTAAAATCAGAGCAGAACTGAAGGAAATAGAGACAAAAAAACCCTCCAAAAAATTAATGAATCCAGGAGCTGGTTTTTTGAAAGGATCAACAAAATTGATAGACCGCTAGCAAGACTAATAAAGAAAAAAAGAGAGAAGAATCAAATAGACACAATAAAAAATGATAAAGGGGATATCACCACCGATCCCACAGAAATACAAACTACCATCAGAGAATACTACAAACACCTCTACGCAAATAAACTAGAAAATCTAGAAGAAATGGATACATTCCTCAACACATACACTCTCCCAAGACTAAACAAGGAAGAAGTTGAATCTCTGAATAGACCAATAATAGGCTCTGAAATTGTGGCAATAATCAATAGCTTACCAACCAAAAAGAGTCCAGGACCAGATGGATTCACAGCCAAATTCTACCAGAGGTACAAGGAGGAACTGGTACCATTCCTTCTGAAACTATTCCAATCAATAGAAAAAGAGGGAATCCTCCTCAGCTCATTTTATGAGGCCAGCATCATCCTGATACCAAAGCCGGGCAGAGACACAACCAAAAAAGAGAATTTTAGACCAATATCCTTGATGAACATTGATTCAAAAATCCTCAATAAAATACTGGCAAACCGAATCCAGCAGCACATCCAAAAGCTTATCCACCATGATCAAGTGGGCTTTATCCCTAGGATGCAAGGCTCGTTCAATATACGCAAATCAATAAATGTAATCCAGCATATAAACAGAACCAAAGACAAAAACCACATGATTATCTCAATAGATGCAGAAATGGCCTTTGACAAAATTCAACAACCCTTCATGCTAAAAACTCTCAATAAATTAGGTATTGATGGGACATATCTCAAAATAATAAGAGCTATCTATGACAAACCCACAGCCAATGTCATACTGAATGGGCAAAAACTGGAAGCATTCCCATTGAAAACTGGCACAAGACAGGGATGCCCTCTCTCACCACTCCTTTTCAACACAGTGTTGGAAGTTCTGGTCAGGGCAATTAGGCAGGAGAAGGAAATAAAGGGTATTCAATTAGGAAAAGAGGAAGTCAAATTGTTCCTGTTTGCAGATGACATGATTGTATATCTAGAAAACCCCATTGTCTCAGCCCAAAATCTCCTTAAGCTGATAAGCAACTTCAGCAAAGTCTCAGGATACAAAATCAATGTACAAAAATCACAAGCATTCTTATACACCAATAACAGACAAACAGAGAGCCAAATCCTGAGTGAACTCCCATTCACAATTGCTTCAAAGAGAATAAAATACTTAGGAATCCAACTTACAAGGGACGTGAAGGACCTCTTCAAGGAGAACTACAAAACACTGCTCAATGAAATAAAAGAGGATACAAACAAATGGAAGAACATTCCATGCTCATGGGTAGGAAGAATCAATATCGTGAAAATGGCCATACTGCCCAAGGTAATTTATAGATTCAATGCCATCCCCATCAAGCTACCAATGACTTTCTTCACAGAATTGGAAAAAACTACTTTAAAGTTCATATGGAACCAAAAAAGAGCCCGCATCGCCAAGGCAATCCTAAGCCAAAAGAACAAAGCTGGAGGCATCACGCTACCTGACTTCAAACTATACTACAAGGCTACAGTAACCAAAACAGCATGGTACTGGTACCAAAACAGAGATATAGATCAATGGAACAGAACAGAGCCCTCAGAAACAACGCCGCATATCTACAACTATCTGATCTTTGACAAACCTGAGAAAAACAAGCAATGGGGAAAGGATTCCCTATTTAATAAATGGTGCTGGGAAAACTGGCTAGCCATATGTAGAAAGCTGAAACTGGATCCCTTCCTTACACCTTATACAAAAATTAATTCAAGATGGATTAAAGACTTAAACCTTAGACCTAAAACCATAAAAACCCTAGAAGAAAACCTAGGCATTACCATTCAGGACATAGGCATGGGCAAGGACTTCATGTCTAAAACACCAAAAGCAATGGCAACAAAAGCCAAAATTGACAAATGGGATCTAATTAAACTAAAGAGCTTCTGCACAGCAAAAGAAACTACCATCAGAGTGAACAGGCAACCTACAGAATAGGAGAAAATTTTCGCAACCTATTCATCTGACAAAGGGCTAATATCCAGAATCTACAATGAACTCAAACAAATTTACAAGAAAAAAACAAACAACCCCATCAAAAAGTGGGCAAAGGATATGAACAGACACTTCTCGAAAGAAGACATTTATGCAGCCAAAAGACACATGAAAAAATGCTCATCATCACTGGCCATCAGAGAAATGCAAATCAAAACCACAATGAGATACCAACTCACACCAGTTAGAATGGCGATCATTAAAAAGTCAGGAAACAACAGGTGCTGGAGAGGATGTGGAGAAATAGGAACACTTTTACACTGTTGGTGGGACTGTAAACTAGTTCAACCATTGTGGAAGTCAGTGTGGCGATTCCTCAGGGATCTAGAACTAGAAATACCATTTGACCCAGCCATCCCATTACTAGGTATATACCCAAAGGACTATAAATCATGCTGCTATAAAGACGCATGCACATGTATGTTTATTGCGGCACTATTCACAATAGCAAAGACTTGGAACCAACCCAAATGTCCAACAATGATAGACTGGATTAAGAAAATGTGGCACATATACACCATGGAATACTATGCAGCCATAAAAAATGATGAGTTCATGTCCTTTGTAGGGACGTGGATGAAATTGGAAATCATCATTCTCAGCAAACTATCACAAGGACAAAAAACCAAACACCGCATGTTCTCACTCATAGATGGGAATTGAACAATGAGAACACATGGACACAGGAAGGGGAACATCACACTCTGGGGACTGTTGTGGGGTGGGGGGAGTGGGGAGGGATAGCATTAGGAGATATACCTAATGCTAAATGACAAGTTAATGGGTGCAGCACACCAGCATGGCACATGTACACATATGTAACTAACCTGCACATTGTGTACATGTACCCTAAAACTTAAAGTATAATAATAATAAAAAGAAAAGAAAAAAAGCCCAAAAAACTAGAGGTGAAGTTTATTTCTCTTCTTTTTGAACTTTGTATGGCAGACACACCTGACACCAATAACTTAACTTAAGCATATGCTGAGAATGACCCTATGGTCTAAGAAGAATGTGCATTTGGCGTTCCGAGCTAAGAAATCCGGGAGTGGCCAACCCACAGACTCACTCATTATCAATGAAGGACATTTGAATCCTTGGCCCATTCCTTGGAACACAGGCTATACAGGGGATGAACGCCCTTTGTTTTGGGTTAAAAGAAGGTTGCTAGGTGGAGGCTGCTAAATAAAAATGCTATGTGTAGGCTGGGCGCCATGGCTCACACCTGTAATCCCAGCACTTAGGGAGGCCGAGGCGGGCAGATCACCTGAGGTTAGGAGTTTGTGACCAGCCTGGCCAACATGGTGAAACCTCGTCTGTACTAAAAATACAAAAATAGCTGAGCGTGGTGGTGCGCACCAGTAATCCCATCTACTCGAGAGACTGAGGCAGGAAAATCACTTGAACCCGGGAGGCAGAGGTTGCAGTAAGCCAAGATCATGCCACTGCACTCCAGCCTGGGCAACAGAGTGAGACTCCATCTCAAAAATAAATGTGCTCTGTGTGTGTGTATATATATATTTTTTTAATTAAAAAAAAAATAGAGCAAGCTATCTACCTGCCTTGGCCTCCAAAGGTGCTAGGATTACAGCCACCGTGCCCAAATGCTATATAAACTGCATGCTTTTTACAAACGGTAGTTGTTTTCCCATCCAGCCTGCCACCACTGGAGCATCGCTGTATTTAAGTTCACCCAATACATCCTGTGTCTTGTTTGCTTTCCTTCGGCCTCTCGGACATGATACCATCCCTATTGGAGTTAATAGGGGTCTGGCAAGACAAACTGGGGCTGGTCTCATGGCATGTTATGCCAATGGAATGCAGTCTAAGTAACACTGTGCCAGTTCCAGGCCTGGGCCATAAGAGGTCTCACAGCTTTCACTCTTGCCCTCTTAGGATCCAGTTGTCTTGTAAGAAAGCTCAGGTCTGACTACTAAATGATGAGAGACCACATAGAGAGGAAGGTAACTAGCCATCCCTCAGCTGTTTCAGACACCCCAGTTAAGTCACTAGACAAGTTAGGAAACCTATCTTGGTCATTCTCACCCTAGACAGGCTCCCACTTGAATGTCATCACATAAATGACCCCAGACAACACTGCAGGGAGCAGAACCACCCAGTTGAGTCCTATGCCATCTCTGCCTCCCATGTAACACTTGGCATGTGGCTGGGCAAACTCAACTCATCCTTCAGGAGCTGACTGCAGTATGCCTGCTGTGCCAGACCCCACTGACTGAGCAGGCCCAACAATGCACCTCAACCTTGACCGCGTGTTAGAATCACCCGGGGAGCTTCCCAAAACGCCCATGGTGGTCCAACCCCCAGAGATTTAGCTTCCTTGTCTGAGGCAAGGCAGAGATATTGAGACGAGTGAAGGGTGGAAGGGTTGGGCAATAGTACATGATGAAAAGAAGAAACTGACTCTGCAGTCACAGCAGGCCTAGGTTCAAATCTTGACCCTTCCTCTAACTAGATGTATATCCTCTCTGATCCTCAGCTTTCTCATCTGTGAAAAGGGTAACTATCATCTCCCCTTCCAGTGAGCTAAGGGGAGTCAGCTGCCATAGAACAAAGTGATTAAAAGTAAAGAACTTGGAGGCAGAGAGAATGGGGTTAAAATCACAGCTTAAGCACTACAAAACTATGAGAAATAAGGGTATGCTACGAACAACTGCAACCCAAAAATTTGGCAGCTTAAATGAAATGGATCAATTATTTGAAAGACACAAACTACCAAAATTCACTCAAGAAGAAATAGATAACCTGAATAGTCCTATATGTATCCAGTTGAATTTGTAGTTTAAAATTCCAGGCCCTGGTGGTGTCTCTAATGAATTCAACCCAAACTGTGGGAGACTCTAAACTACTTATGTATTTAAAATCTCAAAAGATAGAGATAATAAAACTTATCCTTGGCTGGGTGTGATGGCTCATGCCTGTAATCCCAGCACTTTGGGAGGTCAAGGTGGGCAGATCACCTGAGGTTAGGAGTTTGAGACCAGCCTGGCCAACATAGTGAAACCCTGACTCTACTGAAAATACAAAAATTAGCTGGGCATGGTGGTGCATGCCTGTAATCCCAGCTACTCGGGAGCCGGAGGCAGGAGAATCACTTGAACCCAGGAGGCGGAGGTTGCAGTGAGCCGAGATCGCGCCATTGCACTCCAGCCTGGACAACAAGAGTGAAACTCTGTCTCAATAAATAAATAAATAAAAATAAAACTTATCCCTGCATGAGCCAGGCACAGGGCTGGACTCTTGTCCTGCTCCGCCTCTAACTGGTGAGCAACTGTGGGTAAATCCCTTCACTTCTCAGTGCTGTAAGATTTTTAGCAGGAAAATGTTAAGATTCTAAAAATGCTCTGCTGTACATCATTCACTGGGGAAGAAATGTGTCTGCTTGATGCTTGAAGGGGAAGTGGGCTGACTCCTGGACAGCAGGATTCTGCCTGGGGCCACAGCCAATCACTAGGTGCCCTTCCACCAGAGGACACTAGCAGAGGGGTCCCATCTAGGCAAGAGAAAGACTTGACAAATGGTTTGCCCCTATAGTCAATGATAAATTTTCAGAAAGGGAAGACATGCTTTTAAAAACAGTTTACAAGGCCAGGTGCGGTGGCTCATGCCTGTAATCCCAGCACTTTGGGAGGCCGAGGTGGGCAGATTACTTGAGCTCAGGAGTTTGAGACCAGCCTGGCCAACATGGTGAAACTCTGTCTCTACTAAAAATACAAAAACAAGCCCAGTGTGGTGGCAGCTGCCTGTAGTCCCAACTACTCTGGAGGCTGAAGCAGGAGATTTGCTTGAACCTGGGAGGTGAAGGTTACAGTGAGCCTAGATCACACCACTGCACTCCAGCTTGGGTGACAGAGCAAGACTCCAACTCAAAAATAAAAGAAAAACACTTTACATATATTATCATTTTTTTTTTCAAGACAGAGTCTTGCTCTGTCACCCAGGCTAGAGTGCAGTGGTGTGATCTCGGCTGGCTGCAACCTCTGCCTCCCCAGTTCAAGCGATTCTCCCCACCTCAGCCTCTTGAGTAGCTGGGACTACAGGCACGCACCACCAAGCCCAACTAATTTTTGTATTTTTAGTAGAGACAGGGTTTCACCATATTGGTCAGGATGGTCTCAAACTCCTGACCTCAGGCGATCCACCCGCCTCAGCCTCCCAAAGTGCTGGGATTGTATAATAGATGTGAGCCACCCCACCCAGCTGTATTATCTTTTCATTTTGTTTCATTTTATTGTTTTGAGGAGTCTCACTCTGTCGCCTAGGCTGGAATGCAGTGGCGCAATCTCGGCTCACTGCAACCTCTGCCTCTCAGGTTCAAGCGATTCCTGCCTCAGCCTCCCAAGTAACTGGGATTACAGGCACACAACACCACACCTGGATAATTTTGTATTTTTAATAGAGGTGGGGTTTCACCATGTTGGCCAGGCTGGTCTCGAACCCTTGACCTTAAGTGATCCACCCACCTTGGCCTCCCAAAGTGCTGGGATTATATGCATGTGCCACCGTGCTTGGCCTATGATCTTTTAAATGATCAAACCAATCATGAAATGCAAACAAAATTATTATCCCCGTTTTAGAGATAAGGAAATTGCAGCTCAGAAAATTTAAGTGCCTGCCTGGCATAAGAACACCAGCTCTGTCTGACTCCAAGAAACCACCACACCCCATAAATCAATGGCCAGGTATCTTCCCAGGGAAACATTTTGATATTTAACTTTAAAACAAATGTTAATATTAATATTATATCTTTCAGACAGTTGCTGAAGTAGGTTAAAAATGGCTCTGAATTCTGCAACATTCCTCCCATGGAGATGTGGGGTCTCTGTACTCTCTCCTTGAATCTGGGCAGGCTCTGTAACCACTTGAACAATAGAACACGGTAGAAGTAAGCCCAGGTGCGGTGGCTCATGCTTGTAATCCTAGCACTTTGGGAGGCTGTGGTGGGTGGATTACTTGAGGTTAGGGGTTCAAGACCAGCCTAGCCAACATAGTGAAACCCTGTCTCTACTAAAAATACAAAAATTATTTGAATGTGGTGGCACACACCTGTAGTCCCAGCTTCTTGGGAGGCTGAGGCAGGAGAATCCCTTGAACCCACGAGGCAGAGGTTGCAGTGAGCCAAGATCGCAGGGCTGCACTCCACACTCCAGCCTGGGTGACAGAGGGAGACTCTGTCAAAAAAAAAAAAAAAAAAAAAAAAAAGAACACAGCAGAAGTGATTCTGTGCCACTCTCCAGGCCCAGGTCTTAAGAGTCTGGCAGCTTCCCCTTCCTGTCCTTCAGACACTCACTCTAGAAGTCCTGAGCCACCATGTAAAAATGCATTTACACTGAGACCTCCATACTGCAGAGGCCACAGGTAGGACTGAAGAGCAAAAAATAAAAATTAAAAATTAAAGAGTTTCAAATGAGCCCAGTACCAGCCCTATGAATAAGGAAGGTATCTTGACCCTCCACACCAGTTCAGTCATCAGATAGACTATTGAGTGGCTTTAGTGAATGCCACAAAGAGCAGAAGAATTCCATGGCTGAGACTTGCCTAAATTTCTGATTTTAAAACTGAAATATAATGAAGTAGTTGTTTTAAGCCACTAACTTTCAGGCCAGTTTGTTACATAGCAATAGATAACTGAAACAGCTGGGAAAATAAAAGAGACCTGCCTGCTTCCACCTTTCAAAGCACTGGGATTACAGGCGTGAGCTACTGTGCCCAGCCTCATGAATTACCTTATCCAATACTGAAAACAATCAAGCTTGTGTTTTACCCATATTTTACTTTTTCTTTCTTTCTCTTTTTTCAGAGGCAGGTCTCACTCTGTGACCCAGGCTGGAGTGCAGTGTCACAATATTAGCTCACTGCAACCTCTTACTTCAGGGCTTATGTGACCCTCCCATCCCAACCCACTGCCTCAGCCTGCAGAGTAGCTGGGACTACAGGCATGAGCCACCATGCCTGGCTAATTCCTGGCCTGAAGCGATCCTCCTTCCTTGGCTGCCCAAAGCATTGGGATTACAGCAATGTGCCACCACTCCTGGCCCACATTTTAAAAGCAAAGATTCAATGATGGTAGTAAGGAGCTTAAAACAAAAGGGAAAACAAAAATAAAAAAGAAGAAAACTAAAGCCCAGAGAAGTTAATGAGCTTGCAGATGATCACACAGCTTGTAAGTGGGGGAAATGGAAACTGAACTCCCAGTCCGGTCTATCCAGCTAGAAAATCCATGTTCTTGTCACCATCTCACATAGCTGCACCACCTTTCTGGGTTCTGATGGTGTTCTTTTTTTTTTTTTTTTTTTTTTTTTGAGACGGAGTCTCGCTCTGTCGCCCAGGCTGGAGTGCAGTGGTGCGATCTCAGCTCACTGCAAGCTCCGCCTCCTGGGTTCACGCCATTCTCCTACCTCAGCCTCCCGAGTAGCTGGGACTACAGGTGCCCGCCACCACGCCCAGCTAATTTTTTGTATTTTTAGTAGAGACGGGGTTTCACCGTGTTAGCCAGGATGGTCTCGATCTCCTGACCTCGTGATCCGCCTGCCTCAGCCTCCCAAAGTGCTGGGATTACAGGCACGAGCCACCGCGCCCGGCACTGATGGTGTTCTACATTCCCCTTAGTATGACATCATGTGTGGTTTTTCATGTGGCTGCAAAGACTCCAAAATCCTCCTTTAATTTATTTATGTTTACCTTTTTTTTTCTTTTTTTTTTTGAGAAGGAGTCTCATTCTATGGCCCAGGCTAGAGTGCAGTGGTGCAATCTCAGCTCACTGCAACCTCCACCTCCTGGACAACACTTCTTTTAAATGGCCACATATTGTTCCAACTATAGTTTACATGCCATCCCCTTTTTGAGTCTTTACATTCCTTCCAAATGTTTTTGTCATTAAAAGGAATTCAGAAATGAACAAGCTGCATCACGTGGACATAAAGCAGAAATTCTAGAGGGAGGACTGTATTATGTATTGAACCTGCTTCCAAATATAACTCAATGAAGAATAGCTCAATTTGTAAGTTCTCAGTAAAATGACAAAGTCAATTAAAGATGCTCAGTGATGGTAAGCCTCTCCCTGCCCTGTAACCCCACTTCCATGGCAAAGCAGCCCAGATCCAAACCTACCCCTGCCCCACCCTGCCATGTTGCAGCAAAGCTGCAATTGTTGGGAGACTGAACCTCTCTTGGGGTTCCTTTGGTATTATCGGCAATTTCATTTACACAACTCCTCCCCATTTTCTGCTTCTTCTCTGTGCTGACTGCCTTAATGAACCTGGTTACCCAGTCACCTAAGAAGGGTGTCCTGGCCTTGCTGTGTCCCAATGTGCAGCAAGGAAGGTAGAGAAAAATGATCCCCTTGGAATTCACATGCCATTCAGGCCAGATAAATTAATCACCATTTAACAACTTAGTGCAGACCTCATCAATCTTAAATAGCTTGGACAGCTGCAAAAATTAAGATTGTCTCAGGATGCTTGTTGGCTTTGAAAAGATTATAAATCCTCTTATCTCAAAAGGGCCAGGTGAAGAATTTGTAAATCCTGTTAAGAATTTTAGTTTTTATCCTGAGGGCAGTGGGTAGCCGTTGAATGGTTTTAAACAGAGGAGTGATGGCCTGATCAGATTTTTTGGTATAGAAAGAACACCTTGGTTGGAGGGCAGTTGTAGGATTAGGTGATCAAAGGGATGGATGGTAGAGAAAAGGGAGGATTCCATCATGCCCACAGGATCTTGCCCAGAACAGCTGGGTGGGTAGGATGAGGAGCAGAAGGGGAGGGAATGACAGGAGAGTGGTTCCCTCTTGGACCATGTGAGTAGGGTACTTGAGGGTAGAGCCCAGGGCTGTGATTAGGGCAGACAAGCAAGCTGACTTCCAGATGCTCATCACCCAGGGCTCTCTCGCTGGCTGGCCACTTGGTCACATGGACCCAGGTCCAGGAGGGAGGGCCCCATAAGCCAGCCTAGCCCAGGGAACTGAGCATTCTCAGAGACCACAGCTGGCCCAGCAGGAGAACTGGGGACATTGGGAAAGATCCTGAGGCTACGAAGGCTGCTAAATCCATGAGACTGTGAACCTCTTCCTTCCTATATAGGGAGCAGTGGACTACCCCATCTTTAGGGGCTGTTGGAAGCTATCAAGTCACTGGAGCTTTTCAATTCAAGGATTCTTGCTTATTTTATACTTAGGGGTAAGCACTATCCCATAGCCCCAGGATGAAAATTCCCCAGTTCCTCCCCTCCCAAAGATCTACAGCCAGTAGGAGACAGGAGCCAAGGTGACACACAATGGCATAGGCTGGGACCAGTGCTTTAAGAGAGGGAAAAGACCATGGCAAACCTGGAGGAGGCAGAGTTTAACCCAAATGGTGGGCATCTGGGAAGGTGTAGAAGGTGATAGGTTTTCCTCTGGGCCCTAAAGAAAGGTTGACTTCCACAGATGGATAGGAGGGGGCAGGACATTCTTGCAAAAGATAATAGCTTGTGCAAACATCCAAAGTTGAAAAAATACAGGACGTGCTGGAGCAGAGGGAGCTTTGCAGAGGCATGATACTTTTTAGATGGAAGGATACACAATTGTTCATACTGCCCAGATTCCCCAGATTGTGAGAATCTGGGACAATGACCTAGCTTTGGCCCTGAATTCAACATTATCATCAGTGGCTGAGATAGAAATTTCCTGGGGACGTCACCTAGGGAAATGCTAGGAAGCTCAGTCCCTGACTTGCCCTGTCCCCAACCCCAAAAAACAACTTCCCAGATCATTAAGACATACATGTTTTGTACCAGCTTCATACTTCCATACATCTTACTTTCCTAAATATATGTTTCTTTTTTTCTTTTTCTTTTTCTTTTTGAGACGGAGTCTTGCTCTGTTGCCTAGGCTGGAGTGCAATGATGTGATCTCGGCTCACTGCAACTTCTGCCTCCTGGGTTCAAGCGATTCTTCTGCCTCAGCCTCCCAAGTAGCTGGGATTCCAGGTGCCCGCCGCCACGCTCGGCTAATTTTTTTCGTATTTTTAGTAGAGACGGGGTTTCATCATATTGGCCAGGCTGGTCTTGAACTCCTGACCTTGTGATCCACCTCCCTCGGCCTCCCAAAGTGCTGGGATTACAGGTGTGAGCCACCGCACGTGGCCCTAAATATACGTTTCTATTGCTTTCTTTCTACTTAAGCCTTTAGAGGAGGAGGTAAGGTATGTAAAAATAACCCCACAAAACACAAAATATATCATATTATCTTTCCTTTTTTTGAGACAGTCTCACTCTGTTGCCCAGGCTGGAGTGCAGTGGCATGATCTCAGCTCACTGCAACCTTTGTCTCCCAGATTCAAGCGATTCTCCTGCCTCAGCCTCCCAAGCAGCTGAGATTACAGGCATGTGCCACTACACCCGGCTAATTTTGTATTTTTAGTAGAGATGGGCTTTCACCCTGTTGGCCAGGCTGGTCTTGAACTCCTGACCTCAGGTAATCTACCCACCTCGACCTCCCAAAGTGCTGGGATTATTGGTGTGAGCCACCATGCCCAGCATCGAATTATCTTTCAAAACAAATCCAGGCCAGTTGAGGTGGCTCATGCCTGTAATCCCAGCACTTTGGGCTGGCGTGCAGTGGCTATTCACAGATGTGATTGTAGTGTACTATAGCCTCGAACTCTTGGCCTCAGCAATCCTCCCTCCTCAGACTCCCAAGTAGCTGGGACTACAGGTTCATGCCTCCTTGCCAGGCCAAATTCACAATTGTTTACAAATACATGACATGCACTTTGTTCCTCCAGGGCCTCTTGGCCCACAGATGCCCACGAGGACAAGATTTGCCAGCAACAAGGGAAAAAGCCCCAGAGAGCTTCATAAAATTTTCAATTTCTATCTTCTGGCCATCCTCAGGTTGGGCTTCCCATTGCATGGAGAGGCCTGCCTGAGGCCAGGAAGGGGTTGGGGGAGCAGATCCCAGAATCACATGGTCTAGGATTAAATCCACGAAGTGGGTTGGGTCACAGCCATCAAATTATTCCATAGGAGAATAATCAGTGATTATCTGAGGCTACTTTTGCCCCCACCCTCAGTCCAGTTCTATTTGGTCTGAGAGGGAGAGTGACTCCTCAGCTCCCAAAAAGACTGAGTGAGAAAGCAGGTAGCAGTAAGGTACTCAGGAATGAGCCAGTGTCACTAACCAGACAGGAAACTTGGGAGTGGTCATTTTGCTTCAGTGATTTTTTTTTTTTTTTTTTTTTGAGATGGAGTCTCGCTCTGTCACCCAGGCTGGAGTGCAATGGCGTCATCTTGGCTCACTGCAACCTCCACCTCTGGGGTTCAAGCGATTCTTCTGCCTCAGCCTCCCGAATAGCTGTGATTACAGGTGCCTGCCACCATGCCTGGCCAAATTTTTTTTCTTTTGTATTTTTAGTAGATATGGGGTTTCACCATGTTAGTCAGGCTGGTCTCGAACTCCTGACCTCGTGATCCTCCTGCCTCGGCCTCCCAAAGGGCTGGGATTACAGACGTGAGCCACTGCACCCAGCCTATTTCAGTCATTTTGAGGTCACGGATGGTTTAGCATGAGGAACAGAAACTATATATAATCAGAACACTTGAGAGAAAAGCCCCAAATACCAAGCTATTTCATATCTAGAAACTGCAAATGTATGGCCAAGCGCAGTGGCTCACGCCTGCAATCCCAGTACTTTGGGAGGCTGAGGTGGGTGTATCACTTAAGGCCAGGAGTTCAAAACCTGGCCAAAATGGTGAAACCCCATCTCTACCAAAAATACAAAAATTAGCCAGGCGTGGTGGTGTTAGCCTGTAATCCCAGCTACTCGGAAGGCTGAGGCAGGAGGATCGCTCGAACCTGGGAGGCGAAGGTTGTAGTGAGCCAAGATTGCGCCAGTGCACTCCAGCCTGGGTGACAGAGTGAGACACTGTCTCAAAAAAAAACTAAAAATAAAAAAAGAACACACTGAGGACACAGTAATGAATGAGTGGCAGAGTTAGGGAGGACAGATAAGAGAATAATCCGGCTGGGTGAGGTGGCTCACACCTGTAATCCCAGCACTTTGGGAGGCCGAGGCGGGCAGATCACAAGGTCAGGAGATCGAAATCACTGACGAACATGGTGAAACGCTATCTCTGCTAAAAATACAAAAAATTAGCTGGGCGTGGTGGCGCGTGCCTGTAGTCCCAGCTTCTTGGGAGGCTGAGGCGGGAGGATCGCTCAAACCCAGGAGGCAGAGGTTGCAGTGAACCGAGATCGCGTCACTGCACTGCAGCCTGGTGACAGAGCAAGACTCTGTAAAAAAAAATAATAATAAATAACCACAGACCCCCCACCGTGTAATTATAAATCAAGATACATGCCATCATCATCATCACCATCATCATCCCTCACACTAATTGTAACATTAATTGGTTTTTCTATTTGCCAAGCACTAGAGCTGAGTGGTCTTAAATTCATGTCCACATTTCATCCTCACAACTCCAGGAGGCAGTTGTGCTTATCATCCATACTTTACAGGTGAAAAAACCTGTGATGCAGAGAAGTTAAGTGACTTGCTAGGAGGAGGCAGAGCTGGTACTCGAACCTAGATTTGACTCTAGAAAGCATGCGCTTGACCACCAAGTAAAAAGCAAGGTCCCCGAGAGAAAGTATAGGATTTGCCTTCCACCCAGCACGCAGAAGGTTTCCCTGCACTCCCTGCACTCTGACCCTCTCTCTGCTTTTTGTCAGCCTAAAGAGGATGACAATACCATTGACCTAGTGACCTAGTAACCAGGAATACGGAGGCTCTGAGTCAGAAGCAGAAAATGCCAGACAATCTCACATGTAGCTGTTGGATCATGAAGTAAGATCAAGAATGGAGCTAGGGTCAGGAACAGAATAATCGTGTCTTGCCCACGTAATTATACCCCTTGCACTCTGTGATCAAAACGATTGAGTCAGAATGTCTTGCTTTGTGCCAGAGTCGTTTGACTGGCTCCCAAAGTGGCCACCCAGAGTAGCTTTTCCTTGGCGAATTTGCCACAGAGCTGAACCTGGGTCATAGTCATATCAGTGTCCTGTCAGGGTTCATCTCCCTGAAAAAGCCTGACTCCCAGCAATCCAACTCATAAGAGGCCAAACTATATAACCACATACATACCAATGTATTCATTAACAGTGTTAGTCTTTCAGTAACTGGAATGTTCCTCTCCCAACTAGGGCACCCTTTTCCCAATATCAGCAGTCTCAGAGAGTCAAGTTAGTCATCAACAGGCTGGTTGGTGAGTGTATCCCAAGAGTTAAGGAAAGCTGACCTTTTGAGGGCTATTTCAGCCAAATCAGGGTGCGGTCTACTGAATCATCTCCACCTTACAGCAGGGCACGTCTATGTGAAAACAAATTTCACACTGCTCTTTCTTGGACAGTGGTGGGTAATAAGTGCCAACTTCTGGCCTCATGGCTTTATCCTATTTCTTTTTCCTTCCTCTTTTCTACTCTCCAGGCTCTTCCCTCATCCTTCAGTTCACACATTCTCCATACAATAAAGTTGATTCGGTTGCTGATCATTCAATTGTCATCACATTGCAGCCCTTCCCTCACCGAGACACTCAAGGAGGTCACCTTGATGGATAGGTTGGTTGTTCCCAAGCTTTTCATTTATTTACAGAACTTTTTGGTTTATTTTCTAATATGTTAGGTTTAACCTTTTGAAATGATTGTTTTTGGCAGGTCAAAAACAGTCAAATAGCAGCAATTTTATGTGGTTCAACAATCAGCAAACCAGACCCATTGGGGGTGGGGTTAATGAGTCTGACTCCCTTCTCAAGCCATGGTGGTGGGTGTATGTGTGTGTGTGTGTGTCTGTGTCTAGGAGAAGGGGGGTGTATGGCAGCCCTTTTCTCTTTCTGGAAATAAGCTCTCCTGGATAGTTGCTGTTGTCTGGGGCCTCCTCTTGCTCTCCATGTATCCTCCAACTAGGACCCTAATGTCAAAAATGAGCTAAGGAGGAACTTGAGGTTGAGGGAGAAGGTTGAATTATTTGTTATGTGTGGCAGAGTTAGCCTATGCTCATAAGCCAACAAGGAAACACTTTTAGAGTCCATGATTTGTGCAGTCCTCTGTTAATGTGGAAAACTGGAGATTAATGGAGACATTTTTCATTTTACAAACATCAGTTAAATGCTTGTGTGATATAGGCTATATGCTCAATGCCATTCCTGCCTTCAAGAGTTTTCAATGTGCTTTTGTAGGTGTTCCTGTGTGTCTCCTTCTAGTTACCAGCTTAGTGTACAATAAGCTCTGTGAAGGCAGGGCTTATCTCTCCTTTAACTCCTAACATAGGGCCCGGCATATAGTAGGTGCTCATTAAATACATGTTTTATATACTTGAGTGAATGAATGAGAGTGGTTAAATAACAAACCAATCATGCGAATACCAGGAAGGCATCAACGATCATACCAAATGAAAAGACTCTGGGCCTCTGAAGTTTAGGAAATCAAGCTGCCTGTAGAGAATAAGAAAAGACTCCCAGAAGAGATGACCTGTAAGTAGTTGCTCCCCAGTTGAAAAGGGGACAGTTCAGGCAGTGGCATAGTTGGCCTTACAGATGTTAGAGAGGAAACCAGAAATGAAAAGAAGAATTCTAGCCACCCATTTCCTGGTGAACACTTTGGCCAGCATGAGCTGCATTCCTTTGAGCTGAGCATGAGTGGAATTTCCAGCCTAGGTAGCAGAATGGATCTTGGATCAAATAGCTCAGCAGAAAAGAACTCAGAAACAATGGGGCTGGGCTCAACTGCCCTTTGCCAGCTCTTGAGCTCATGGAATATTGGAACTCAGCAGGCCTTGTTGAGGGAGATATATGATGTCCTTCGGATTGCACCACTTCAGAGGACCCAGAGGGAAACTGCCATGTTCAGACAGCATTAGGAACCTTGGAAGATGTGCAGAAATACCTGGGAATAGTCTGCATTACTATACAAGTTTTCCATCTGGCAAGTACAAGTGAAAGTCTGTTTGCTTTAAGTATGCAGACGGTCCAAACACATTGGACAGCAGAGGGGAAGACACCTCTGTCAAGAGAGAGCTGGAGGAGCCGGGCACAGCGGCTCCTACTTGTGATCCCAGCTACTCAGGAGGCCAAGGCAGCAGGATCAATTGAGCCCAGGAGTTCCAGACCAGCCTGGGCAACATAGCAAGATCCCTTTCTCTAAAAATGTAAAAAAAAAAAAAAAAAAATTCAGCTGTACATGATGGCACCTGCCTGTAGTCCCAGCTACTCTGGAGGCTGAAGCCAGAGGATTGCTTGAGCCCCGCCTCTTAAAAAGAAAAAAAGAGAGAGAGGGCAGAAGGATGCTTCAAAGATGAGGGGGTGTCTGGTAACGATGATAATGATAGCATGATTCAGGGCACTGTGCAACCAATCTGGAGAAGGGTGGTAGGGGAGGTTTAAAAGGAGCAACTGATGGGAACAGATGCTGTCAATTTTAGGGCAGGTGATTCAAAGAGGAAGGGACCAGCTTCACAGAGGAGAGAATTACTACAAACAATGACACAACCACAAAGACACTGGTCTCTCTACTGGCCTGACCTGAATTTCTTACACATGATCAAGTTCTGGGATCATGCCATCAATCACACTGAAAAATGTAGTGGGAAATTCTGCAGCGTCAGCCCTCAACTACTGTTCCTTCTGTGTATTTTCTCAAGTCATTAATTCTTTCAAGACAATGATGAATTGATAAGGACTTAAGAAAGATATAAATAACTGAAACTTATTTATATCTAGATCTTCTCTTCTAGATTATAAGGGAATTGAATGCAGGAATCACAAATTACTCACTTTTGAATAAAGCACTTTGCCCGAAATATAGCAAAATAAGTGCTTCATAGATGAGGAAAGAAAGAGAGGGAGAGGGCCGGGCATGGTGGCTCACACCTGTAATTCCAGCACTTTGGGAGGCTGAGGTGGGTGGATCACGAGGGTCAGGAGTTTGAGACCAGCCTGGCCAACATGGTGAAACCCCGTCTCTACTAAAAATACAAAAATTAGCTGGGTGTGGTGGCGGGTGCCTGTAATCCCAGCTACTCAGGAGGCTAAGGCAGGAGAATCGCTTGATCCTGGGAGGCAGAGGTTGCAGCGAGCTGACATGCCATTGCACTCCAGCCTGGTGACAAGAGCAAGACTTTGCCTCAAAAAATAAGTAAGTAAATAAATAAATAAATAAATGAAAGAGAGGGAGGGAGGAAGGAAGAAAGAGGGGGGAGGAAGAAAAGAAGGAAAGAAAAGAGGAAGGGAGAAAAAAGAAGGAAAGAAAAAAAAGAAAGAAAATAAATTTGATTAGCGATGGTAAGGGAGGGTGATGGTGATGGGCAGTACTGAACCTGGCCTGCATCACAGGAAGATATATGTTGTCATAGAAGGAAGTCACCTTGGGAGCTGTTCATGTTTGGGGAATAGTATATGTATAAGCTCAAGCTACTTGCTGGCCAAGGCTAGGTCCTTGATTTCTTTTGACATTCAGAAGTTAGACTTTTTTTTTTTTTTTGAGACGGAGTTTCACTGTTGTTGCCCAGGCTGGATTGCAATGAGGCGATCTCGGCTTACTGCAACCTCCGCACCCCCGGGTTCAAGCAATTCTCCAGCCTCAACCTGTAGCTGGGATTACAGGCGTTAGCCACTACGCCCGGCTAATTTTCGTGTTTTTAGTAGAGACGGGGTTTCATTATTTTGGTGAGGCTGGTCTCGAACTCCTGACCTCAGGTGATGCGCCTGCCTCGGCCTCCTGAAGTGCTGGGATTACAGGCGTGAGCCACCGCGCCCAGCCAGAAGTTAATTCTTTAATAGCAGTGTAAGTAGGGGGTAGGAAAAGAGAAACTTTAATGGGGTAACTGTAAAGGAAAAGACGAAGAAGTCTCTCCATTTACTGGCTGGATTCTATCTACCCCATATGGCTACCAACATTTGTCTGAGTCATTTCCTCAATGGTTGTGACAGCTCCCTCTTCTGCTTTTAGAAGGAGGAAGTAGAAAGTTTAAGAGCTTACTTTAGACCACCTTTTGCATATAGAATTCATTTCATTTTCAAGGCCCCAAGGGTATTTAAATGGGCTTTAAACCCATTTAAACCTGGCTTTCGCCTGGGCATTTTGGTCTCCACCCCTATGATAAGACAGTCCCCTCCTTTTATCAGGGATAGAAGCTAAGGATAAACTGTATCATCATCTAGACTCAAGTCAGGGCGTTAAGCAATGTGCTGAGCAGCTAATAATGTTGACTCTCTTCCCTCCATCCCCCTATCTTGTAAGAAATAGTATACCCACTTTACAGATTAGGGACTTGACGATAGGATTTATTGAACTTGACCTTGGTAAACATAATCCAGAGGGTGGAGTTCAGACAAAATCCCTTTCTACCTACCAACCAGCCTATGAAAGATCTTTTAGTAAATGGGACCTAAACTTCAGGCTCACTGCTCCTCTCACTTTCACAATCAACCGGTAAAGAAGAAAAGTAATGGTTGCCACTCCAGAGGGGGTGGAAGTACAGAAGCGATCAGAGGAGAGGAACAATCTTTAACACAGTTGGCTTAACGCAGTGCCTGTCCGTTTCGCGACAGTTCAAACGACTACTATGGGGCCACGGTTTGTTCTGGGCCAGGAAACACACGTGCATCCTGCGCATGCGTCCAAAAGGAACCCACTGCCCCTCCTGCTGGACCTCTTTAGCCAAGTCATCAACCAGCCCTCAACATGCCCGCCCTCAAGACTAAACCCTCGGCCAATCGGGAAACCGGAGTCGCCCGGCACGTCACTTATTTTGCATATGCCCTCCTCTCCCCGCCCCCATGCTTGGACTCCGCCCCGTCTGGGTCAGGGATTGTCACCTAAGAGCTTCGTCCTGGCACCTGATTGGCTCTCTTTCCAGCTCCGCCTCCATCTCCTCCCGCCGCCCGCCCCTTGGCGATCCCACAGCGGCAGGCAGAGCAAAATACGCAGGCGCAGGCGCTTCCTCTCTCTTCTAGCGGCCCGCCCTCCCTCCTCCCTCTCCCTCCCCTCCCCACTCCCTTCCCCTCCTCTCCAGGCCTGCGCGCGCGCCTCTTCCTCCGGCACGCGCCGCTGCTAGCCGAGCACTCTCGCCAGAACCTCTGGCTCGCGCGTGCCTTTTCCCCTCAGGTTGTGGGGAGAGCGGAATCCTGCTCCGCCGTCGCAGCAGCAGCGGCAGCCCCGGCAGCCTCGGGCGACAGCGGCGGCGCGCGAGCCCCCGGGCGGACCGTACCACCGCTCGCCAGCACGCAGGGGGAGCCGCCCGTCTCGCCGCGCACGCCTCGGCGACCCCGCGGGGCTGAGGCGTCGCCGCGCCCGGCAGCGTGAGCGCAGAGCCGGCCTCGACCCCGAGCTCGGAGCCCCGCGGGCCGCGCCCGCCGCCGGCCCCACCCATCCGGGTCGAGGAGGCCGAGGCCATGGCTGAGACGGAGGAGCGGAGCCTGGACAACTTCTTTGCCAAGAGGGACAAGAAGAAGAAGAAGGAGCGGAGCAACCGGGCGGCGAGTGCCGCGGGCGCAGCGGGCAGCGCCGGCGGAAGCAGTGGAGCCGCGGGTGCGGCGGGCGGCGGGGCGGGCGCGGGGACCCGGCCGGGTGACGGCGGGACCGCCAGCGCGGGGGCTGCGGGCCCAGGGGCCGCCACCAAGGCTGTGACGAAGGTGAGGGGCCGGGAGGCCGGCACTCGGGGCCCGGGCCGCGCGCCGGCGCCCCATGTGCCCGCCCCCGCCTGCCGGGGAAGCGTCCGGGAGGGGCCGCGGAGGCCGGGCGGACGGGCGCGGGCCGCCACGTGACGCAGGCTCTCCACCTCGGGCTGGGCTCGCCAGGGCCGGGACCCCTTCCGATATCCGCGGTGGAGCCGCCCTTCCCACCCCGCGTCGCTCGGCGTTAGCCAAGGCCCGGGCGGCGCCACCCTCCGGGGGCACTAGGTCTGGGGCCGCAGTGCCCAGCACAGAGCAGCGTTTATCGGGTGACGTCTAGGCTGAGTAATTCCGTGTGCTGACCTCAGCCCAGTAGTTTGAGCTGAATTTTCGCTTTCAGCAGCCGCATTTGTAGCAGCTCTTTTGTGATGACTTAGTCTCTAAGCCCGTGAAAGAAAAAGAAAACTCTCGGTGGCAAGGTTGAAGTAGAAATGTAGTTGTGAAATTCCTATTGACTTCTTCCTTCGGCTTTTCTTAGTTGCTTAAAGTAACAGCTCCCATGCAGGAACCCAGCGGAAGTATAGTGTTAGCCTACGAGCATGTTTGTCCTCCATTTAGCCTAGTTTGCCCCAGAACGAAGCAAGGGCTTTGACCAGAAGACAAGTACATACTTAGTTTAGGTTCCAGCCACTTGATCCACTTTTCGTAGTGTGTTATTTGCTTAGTTATATGTCTACAAATAGCTTTAATTGATCAAATGGCGTTTGTTTTACAGGACGAAGATGAATGGAAAGAATTGGAGCAAAAAGAGGTTGATTACAGCGGCCTCAGGGTTCAGGCAATGCAAATAAGGTATAGTCTGGTTACAAATGTGTTTAGATAACCTTTGGGATAGATATTGGATACAAGTTAGGTTTTCCTTTGGCCCCAAAGCAGCATCATAGTAGCCTTGTGCTCTAGATATGCTTATTAGGACTCAAATGGGTTCTGTCTACTCTTTCTCACTCCATGGAGGCAGCCCTTCCGTGTGCTCATGAAATTAGCTGCTGACTCTAAAATCCTGTGAGAGCTTGCCTACTTCCAGTTCTGGTTAGGACTTTTCATTTGAGACAGCTAAAGTGGATTTTGTCGCTTCAAAATTTTTACTTTTAACATCGGTGATTGTACTTAGTTTTGGTTTCAAAAGTAATGTGGATGTTTTTCACATCCTCTCCAATAAGCAAGTGAATATATGTTTTTGTAATTGAAGTATATCATACTTACAGAGAGATAGAGGTTTTATGTGTTCACACAGTGCAACCAACCTGTGCAATAAGCACCAGGTCAAGAAACTGAGTATTACTGATACAGAACAAGGTTCCCCTCCTAACACATACTCACTGCATTCACCTTCAACATAACCACTATTCTAACACCATAATTTTTTCTAAAACTTCATAGGAATGGAATTATATTTGTAAACATGTTATTTTTTAAAGTTCAAAAAAATAGTAATTTTTAAAAATTGGGTAGTTTAGAAGATTTGAAATTAACATTTTGTCAAGTCCAGTCTATGGCAGTCAACTTTAAGGTTGATGTTAAGTAAGTGCTATATTTTGGAGGGTTCATAAAGTAGGAAAAAACAAATGAAGATATGGTTCTGCTGTAAGATGAAAAAATCCTTTGCTCCCGGTTTAAAGAAATAAAGGATCTTGATAAACTGTCTCCAGTTTGAAGGTTGCATTTTATAGGCAATGCCAGTGAGTGCGAGGCACAGTGGAGGAAATACTTTCCTTAACTGAAAACTGTCTTTTGACTTCTCTGGATGTTAGTATCTATAGCTTTAGATAACTTACTCAAAAAGCAGGGTTAATATTATTGACATTTGTTGAACACCTACCACAGCTAGGCATTAATGTCCTACTGTGAAAACATCATTTTGTGAGCTTAACCAAAGTGAAACCCCCAGATTGATAATGGGAAACTTTCAGGAACGATGGCTTCTCCACTCTTGAGATTTCTTTGTAGTGGTGTTGAGTAGAAGTGATTAGACTTGAGTTTGATTCCCAACCACTTGTTGGCTTCCTTAATGTGTCTTTCTCTTTTCTGTCTCCTGGGGCTTGACCTGTAAATAATGGGGAGGAGGGAATGTGAGGTTCTTACCATTTGGTGTTGTGGAACTGCCTGTGTGTGTGGCTCCGGTTCTGTTGTAAAGTTTGGCTCTTCTTAAGTCTTTTCTTTCCTAAGTGACTGCAGGTTCTTGAAAACGTGAGTGACTGGAAGAATAGTGTTTGGCCATGTTGAACTTGGCAAAATAGCACTTTTCTGAAGATAAAATTTTGGTTTCAAGTTCACTGAGGATTAGAAATTGATTTTGTTAAACTATGGAGATTATTTAAACAGAACCTGTGTTTTTCTGTTACTGACTATAAATTACATGTTCATCTTCAGGGTTATTTTGATCTTGATCTATTTTGGTTACTTTTGAGATAGTGAAAAGTGTCTTAAATAACTTACATACTTCACCCTTGCCAGGGATATAAGTAAGTATCAGCTAGTACAAGCATTTAAGTTCTGTTCAACCTGAAGGTAGACTAGCTTTTTTTTTTTTTTTTTTTTTTTGAGACGAAGTTTCCCTCTTGTTGCCCAGGCTGGAGTGCAGTGGCAAAATCTCGGCTCACTGCAACCTCCGCCTTCTGGTTTCAAGCGATTCTTCTGCCTCAGCCTCCCGAGTAGCTGGGATTACAGGCGCCCGCCACCACACCTGGCTAATTCTTGTATTTTTAGTAGAGACGGAGTTTCATCATGTTGGTCAGGCTGGTTTTGAACTCCTGACCTCGTGATCCGCCCGCCTCAGCCTCCCAAAGTGCTGGGATTACAGGTGTGAGCCACAGCACCCGGCCTAGACTAGCTTTTATATTGTTTTTTTTGTTTTCTTAGCATCTAGTCATTGGCCCTAAGTGGCCATCCTAGTAGAGGTATTCCACTAACCTGCAACACTGAGAAACACTCCTTCCCATATGTTCTTCACTCAGATCCACCAGTCTCTGCTACATGTGCTTTATCTTTTTCTATTTCTCGGTATACTGAGAGCTGCAGATGTCACATTCAGTCTTTTTTTCTTTTTTTTTTTTTGAGACAGAGTTTCGCTCTTGTTGCACAGGCTGGAGTGCAATGGTGCGATCTCAGCTCACCGCAACCTCAGCCTCCCGGGTTCAAGCGATTCTCCTGCCTCAGCCTTCCGAGTAGCTGGGATTACAGGCATGTGTCACCACGCCTGGCTAATTTTGTGTTTTTAGTAGAGACGGGGTTTCTCCATGTTGTTCAGGCTGGTCTCAAACTCCCGACCTCGGGTGATCCACCCACCTCGGCCTTCCAAAGTGCTGGGATCACAGGCATGAGCCTCTGAGCCCAGCCAGATGTCACATACAATCTTAAAGTTCTTGACCCTGGTCCTTATAGTAGTTAGCATATTAGTTCTTTACCTGTACATTTGAAAGGGGAAATTTTTCATTAGCAGCAAACGTATTATATATTAAGATCCTATTTCACATTTACCAACCAGCTCAAGATTTAAGTACCAAGGTACTTAATGTGCCCAGTTTTGTGTCTGAATTAACAGATCTTATTCAAGGTCATGCTGTTATAGACAGATTCTTGAGAGGGAAGCCATTGAGGTGGTTATAAAGGAGGCTGTCATTTGAGTTAGATCCTTGGTTGTTTGTAGGCCCTGTAGGCCTCTTTCATCTCTATTTTTTCATTTTTTTGAGACAGTCTCACTTTGTCACCCAGGTTGGAATGCAGTGGCATGATCATAGCTCATTGTAGTCTTGAACTCCTGGGCTCAAGTGATCCTCCCACCTCAGCCTCCCGAGTAGCTGGGACTACAGGTGTGAGTTGCCACCCCTGACTAATCTTACTTTTTTTTTCTGTAGATGAGGTCTATTTTACCTAGGCTGGTCTCAAAACTCCTGGCCGCAAGTGATCTCAAAGCAAAGGAATCACACGCATGAGCTGCTAGGCCCAGCCACTTCCATCTTTAAAGTGGATTTTTGGGAGAATGTTAGAAAGATTTAATTCTTGAAGGTATACACTGTTGAGCATTTGTCACGTTTCAGTAAATAATTGAGTTCTTGGAGCCCAGTGGTTTTCTAGAAACTTTGGTGAGAAATCTAGACTTAAACCTTTTAGGTAGAGCTGGTTACATTATCCAAGGTGGATTTATTCTAGCAAATACTTATGTGACTACTCTGCTAGACACTGAGGTTCTCTGGTTGTAGAAATAAGTCATGCTGTAATAGACAACAGTAGATAATTTCAAAGAGATGTGCATGGTGCTCTGGGGCAGAGGAGAGACATTTCATCATCCATGAAGGGGTCAGGAAAGATTCTTTGGATGAGGTGCAGTGCCATTTTAAGCCTCCAGGCCAGGCATAGCTGATCAGGCCATGTGTATCTCCCCATTTTACTGTTGCAGCAATGCTAGGTATAATAGGGACAAACCTGTGGAGATGCCCGGTATTCCAGCAGCTCAATCCAGTCTGATTTTTGTTTTAGCTGCTTCCCCCTAGTGTTGGGGAAGGGGAGTTAGGATGTATAAATTCTCATGTCTCTTGAGGTAAAGAGATAAGGCTGTTCTATTCTTTATAAATATACTGCTGCAGGATGTGTGATCCTATCAGCCTTACTAAAGAAAATGCATTTCTCAAATCTTAGAGAATATTTTTGCATCATACCTTAGAGCTATAAAGGGGATAAAATGAATTAAAAGGTAATGTGAAATAATAGAGCCTCTAGAATCCCACACTATTTTGGCTCTGCTACTTTGTAGCCCTGGGGAAGGTACTTATGTTTCCTCATACATACATACAGTGGGTCTCTTGGCTGCCTTAGTGTTACTGTGAGGTTTAACTTTGTACAGTGGGGTGGAATGCTGCCTGCTGTAGTAGATATTCAGTAAGTCTCCCTTTTGTAGCATCATTATTCTCCTCACCTTACCAGTAGTGCCTTACAGACTTACACATATTTAAGACCGTATATGTGGAATTGTGATGAATTTACAGCAGTATTGTAGTGTTTGTTTATAAAATTTAGCTGATGGGAAGCTATATATTATATTTGGGTCAAACACTGAATTTCAGCCTGTCTCCCATGGAAATAACCGTTTGGAACGTGTTTCTTGTTCTGCTATGACATTTGGAGAGTTGATACTTTCTGAAATATGTAAAGATGAAAAAGTAATAAAATATGTAAATCATTTCTACCCTGCTAACTGGCATTTAGGCAAGCCTCTAAGCATCTCTGGGCTTCAATTCCTTCAATTGTTGGATGAAGAGTGTTTTTGGTTTGTTCGTTCTTTTTTTTTTTTGATAGAGTTTTTGCTTTTGTTACCCAGGCTGGGGTGCAATGGCGCAATCTCCGCTCACTGCAACCTCCACCTCCCAAGTTCAAGCGATTCTCCTGCCTCAGCCTCCCAAGTAGCTGGGATTAGAGGCATGTGCCACCACGCCTAGCTAATTTTTGTATTTTTAGTAGAGACAGTGTTTGACCATGTTGGTCAGGGTGGTCTCGAACTCCTGACCTCCAGTGATCTGCCCGCCTCTGCCTCCCAAGATGCTGGGATTACAGGCATGAGCCACTGCGCCCGGCTGATAAAGAGTCTTGACTAGACAATTTCCACATGTTTAGTTTAGCTAGTATTTCAGAATCTTAACCCAAAATACTTATTTATTTTTATTATTATTATACTTTAAGTTCTAGGGTACATGTACACAACGTGCAGGTTTGTTACATAGGTATATATGTGCCATGGTGGTTTGCTGCACCCATCAACTTGTCATTTACATTAGGTATTTCTCCTAACGCTATCCCTCCCCCAGTCCCCCACCCCCCAACAGGCCCTGGTGTGTGATGTTCCCCTCCCTGTGTCCATTTGTTCTCATTGTTCAACTCCCACTTGTGAGTGAGAACATGCAGTGTTTGGTTTTCTGTCCTTGTGATATTTTGCTGAGAATGATGGTTTCCAGCTTTATCCATGTCCCTGCAAAGGACATGAGCTCATCCATTTTTATGGCTGCATAGTATTCCTTGGGGTATATGTGCAACGTTTTCTTTATCCAGTCTATTATTAATGTACATTTGGAAAAACCCAAAATATTTATTTAAAAAAATTTCTTTTGGCCGGGCACAGTGGCTCACGCCTGTAATCTCAGTACTCTGGGAGGCTGAGGCAGGTGGATTACTTGAGGTCAGGAGTTCGAGACCAGCCTGGCCAACATGGTGAAACCCCGTCTCTACTAAATACAAAAAATTAGCTGGGCATGATGGCGCATGCCTGTAATCCCAGTTACTTGGTGGGCTGAGATAGAAGAATTGCTTGAACCCGGGAGGCAGAGGTTGCAGTGAGCCAAGATCAGGCCATTGCACTCCAGTCTGGGCAACAGGAGTGAAACTCCATCTCAAAAAAAAAAAATAGAGACAGAGTCTCACTGTGTTGCTATATTGCTCAAGCTGGTTTTGAACTCCTGGCCTCAAGTGATCCTCCCACCTTGGCCTTCCAAAGTGCTGGGATTAGGGCATGAGCCACTGCACCTGGCCAAGAATCCAAAATACTAAATTGTCTCCTTGTGCCTTTTATTATTGATGTACAATCCCTCTAATTAAACAGATTATGCTTATTTTTTGGTAATAGTTTGTAAACTAGGTGTATTTTAAATTTGAGATTATTTTATTTTTTAATTTTTTTCCTAAGGGCAAGGAGATGTTAGACACTAGACAGTAAAAAAAAAACTTCCAGTTGAGATACTGTCACTATTCCATCAGACCAAATAGGAGTTTTTATTTAAAAGCTTTCTGTGAGGCTGGGCGTGGTGGCTCACTCCTGTAATCCCAGCACTTTGGGAGGCAGAGGTAGGAGGATCACTTGAGGCCAGGAGTTCAAGACCAGCCTGGGCAAGACCCTGTCTCTACAAAAAAATGTAAAAAAGTAAAATTAGCCAATTGTGGTGGTCTGCACCTTTAGTTCTAGCTTACTTGGGAGGCTGAGGTGGGAGTATCTCTTGAGCCCTGGAGTTGAAGATTGCAGTGAGCTAAGATTGGGCCTCTGTACTCCAGCCTGGGTGACAGAGCAAGACCCTGTCTCTAAAAATTAATTTTTAAAAATAAAAAATGATTTTTTATGTAGGTTATAAAAATAATATGCTTGTTTTTAGAAATTTTTTTGAGAAAAATGTAGAAGCATAAAGAAATATGTAAGAATTATCTGTAGTCTCTTCTATTTAGGGATAATCAGTAAATAGTGCTGATTATTATGGGGTTGTCACCTCCATTTTACATAAGAGGAAATTGAGGTATAAAGAAATGAAGTGCCATGTTCAAAGTTTCCTGGCTGGTAAGTGGCAGAGCCTGGATTTGAACCAGGAAGCCTGACTTTAGAATCTGCTCCTAATTGCTTGCTGCATGAAGAAGATAAAGTCATACATTCTAGCACCCAGAGCTACTCTATAAAACTTTTTAAAATTGTTGTAGATGTTTTTGTATTTATATTAGGTATATAGATGTTGTTTTAGTGAATTTTGGTTTATATGACATGAATACTACCTCCATGTCAGCATAGGGTTTACATTTTAAATGGCTGCATAGAATTCTCTTACATGTTAACGAAAAGGAAAACTGAGAGATGGCTTGGCTATATTTTTATTTTAAATTGCATTTTTTTCTTTCTCAGACCTCTTAGGGATGAATTGCCATATTCTCTATCCTTTTTCCTCTCAGATAAAGTTGTAAGTAAAATCTTGCTGTAAATGTAGACGAGATAAATCTGTTCTTCTTTCCACTCTTCCTCATTGTCACTCTAGCCTCCAAATTCTGCAGTCACTTCTGGTTGGTAGGTAATTCATACAATGCTGCCATTATTTTTTATTTTTTATTTTTGACACGGAGTCTCGCTCTGTCACCCAGGCTGGAGTGCAGTGGCACAGTCTTGGCCCACTACAACCTCTGCCTCCCAGGTTCACCTGATTCTCCTGCCTCAGCCTCCCAAGTAGCTAACCGGCATGTGTCACCACACCTGGCTAATTTTTGTGTTTTTAGTGGAGATGGGGTTTTGCCATGTTGGCCAGGCTGGTCTCCAACTCCTGACCTCAGGTCATCGGCCTGCCTCAGCTCCCAAAGTGCTGGGATTACAGTTGTGAGCCACTGCGCCTGGCCAGTGCCATTATTTTTGAATGGCATTTTGCCACTTACTTTTTTCCTAAGTATCTTTAAAGGAGACTGTCAAGCTAGTCAAGAACTTTGTCTTATAGCCAGCATGTGTCTTGTTTTAATAGAAATGGAAGGAAAGCATCCTTAGATATCCTTTTGCAGAAGCCAAGAGAGGCTGTGATGTTCCTAAGGTTATACAGTTAAGAGAGTCAGGGTGATGAGTAGAAGGCAAGGGACAGAGTTTTGGGAACCAGCCTTTTTTTTATAGGAAGGTGGGGAAAAGGTAGAATGGTGAAGGAGTTGAGAAGCTTGAAGACCTAGGAAAAGCCACCATTGTCATGAAAAATAATTTTATGAAAATGTTGGTAGTTTCTGCCAGGTGTATCTTCGAGGTGAAGAGTTGCAAAAAGGACGTTCGATTTAGCCATTATTGTGCTTTAATATCCCTGTTGTCAGTATCCCTTTTGTCAAGAGACAAAAGATAAATACACTTGGTAATTTAGGACATGTAAAGTTACACAAAATAATAAAAAGTAATCCAGCAAAAAGAGAAATAATCAAAGATGCCTTGGAGAAATAGATTATGACTCAAGTCAATTCAAGAATAAATTAATTAGCATTGAGAAAATACTGCAAGCAGTCTTAAGATGGTATGTTACCACTGAGGGTATCTTTTCCATTTATAACATCTGGAAAGCCAAAGACTGAGATCTTATATATTTTTTTTAAACAGGTGATAAATACATGTCTGGTGTTAGGGGCTAATTCTATCCTCTGTAAACACTGGACACAGACTTGTTTTCATCTGCTGGAATGTGAATTCTAATTCTGAGAGTATTTTATGTGCGAAAGGATTGGCAAATAAAATTATACAACTTTCAAAACTCTTCATTTGCTCACTAAAAATATGCTTACCTTAAATGCCTGTTTGTACACTTTGGTGCAAGGAAAATTTTGTAATTGTGCTCTTAATCCTTCAGCTCACCTTCTTCTCTGCATTTCAGGTTGTATCATCCTCTCTTCCCTCCCTTAGTCGCTTGAGGTGGTAACTGGGGTCTTGCTCTTATGTGGGGCTGCTATAAATGATCAGGCATATTGTCACAGAGGCACATCAGGTTTTTTTTATTTTTATTTTTTTGAGACAGTCACGCTCTGTCGCCCAGGAGGGAGTGCAGTGGCACGATCTCAGCTCACTGCAGCCTCTGCCTTCCGGGTTCAAGGGATTCTCCTGCCTCAGCTTCCCCAGTAGCTGGCATTGTAGGTGTGTGCCCCCATGCCTGGCTCATTTTTGTATTTTTAGTACAGATGGGTTTCGCCATGTTGCCCAGCCTGGTCTTGAACACCTGACCTCAGGTGGTGCACCCATCTTGGCCTCCCAAAGTCCTGGGATTACAGGTGTGAGCCACTGTACCTGGCCTCACTTTTTAAATAAGACGTTCAGTCTCGAAAGAGATTGACTTCTTCAGGGTCGTACAGATAATCATGGATAAAACTAACGATTTGGACTGAAAATTTTCTTGGTGATTCCTTAATGAATTTACATCTTTGCTTTTCCAGCAGTGAAAAGGAAGAAGACGATAATGAAAAGAGACAAGATCCAGGTGATAACTGGGAAGAAGGTGGAGGTGGTGGTGGAGGTATGGAAAAATCTTCAGGTCCCTGGAATAAAACAGCTCCAGTACAAGCACCTCCTGCTCCAGTAATTGGTAATTTTACTATTTCAGTTTCAGAAAGATGTCTAATTTATATATGATTTTATATATGGTCCACTTTCAACTAAGTGCATGATTGTGGTAGGGTGAGGAGGAGAGGCTCCTTTCCATTCCTGGTAGAGTGGGATGTGTATATATCTTGTTAAAGACTTTAAAATCCTAAATAAAAGGAATCTGGAAGTTAAAAGACATGCTTTTGTCCTGTATGTTGCTGTAAAATTTATATAGATATAGACTAGTCGATTCCAGTTTCATTTATTGGAATTGAGCATTTCTTCTAATATTCTCGTTAAATATTAACTACTTGCTAATGGAGGAAAAGGTAAGGAAAAGACTTTAATTTACTAGAATCCAAGGTCAGCTTCATTTAGGATTTTTAGTGGTAACTACCCTAGGGTTGGGTTTAACTCCAAAAGTTTTCATGAGAGAGAAAATTCCTAAAGCTTTTATCATTTAAAATATTTTTGACAGCTGAGTAAAGACAGAAAGACAAGGGGCCCTTGTCTTTCACTTGTGCTTTGTCTTTTTCATTCCCTATTTAACTTTCCTGTTCTTTGAAGCATGAATTCTCAGCAGGGCCAATTTTATCATTCTCAAGGTGGTAAAAGTTGCTTCTTATGGAATGAAGGAATCTTATACCTTAACAGTCATTTGTGGCCCACGAAAAGACTAGAATGCATAAACAGATGTATAGTATATCGCAGTATTAAAATTTCATGGAGTGGGGGGCAGTTAGGAAACAGATGTCTGAAAGGTCTCCTTAGGGCAATAATGAAAGTTTAAGAGCACTACTTTAAAGAAGTGTATACTCATTATTTTATTTAGAATGTTATAAAGAATAACATATCACTCCAAATCTTGTTATGCAGAAATCACAGATAACTACTCTATGTTAAATTTTTATTTTTATATTTTTTAGAGACAGGGTTTCACTCTGGCCCAGGCTGGAGAGCAGTCATGCAATCATGGCTCATTGCAGCCCCTCAACTGCTTGGGCTCAAGTGATCCTCCCACCCCAGCCTTCCAAGTAGACTACCGGGGCATGCCACCTGTTTATTTTATTGTAGAGATGAGATCTTAACTATGTTGCCCAGGCTAGTCTTCAACTCCTGGGTTCAAGCAATCCTCCCACCTTAGCTTCCCAAAGTGCTGGGATTGCAGGTGTGAGTCACCACACCCGGTCTTATGTTTTTAAATCATCTTTAGAATCTTTTTGTTTTGTTTGTTTTGTTTGAGACAGAGTCTGGCTCCTGACTTCAAGTGATCTGCCCGCCTCGGCCTCCCAAAGTGCTGGGATTACAGGCGTGAGCCATTGTGCCTGGCTAGAATCTTTTTTTCTTTTTCTTTTTTTTTTTTAAGACAAAGTCTCACTCTCTTGCCCAGGCTGGAGTGCAGTGGCACAATCTTGGGTCACTGCAACCTCCGCCTCCCGGGTTCAAGCTATTCTCCTGCCTCAGCCTCCCAAGTAGCTGGGATTACAGGCGTGCACCACCATGCCCCGCTACATCTTTGTATTTTTAGTAGAGACGGGGTTTCACCATTTTGGCCAGGCTGGTTTTGAACTGCTGACCTCAGGTGATCTGCCTGCCTCGGGCTTCCCGAAGTGCTAGGATTACAGGCTTGAGCCACTGCACCCAGCCCTGGCTAGAATCTTAAAAAATAACCACACTGGCATTTCATTAAAAAATTCTTTACATATGGCATCTTAATCAGTCCACCAATCAGGTAAAGAAGTAATTCATATTTACTGGTAGGGAAACAGGACTAAAGTCCTATTCTGAGAGGCAGTCCCTGATGAGACCAGTCATCCAAGCCCAGCAGATTCCTTTTCTACTTCCAGTAATTTGGCTTGTGGAACTCATCATTTACGTAGATTACTAAAGTTGTACGTGGAGGAGGAGTTAGAATACTACCCTAGAAAAATACAATGTTTTCACTTTTCTTTTTTCTTTTTTGAGAGCCGGAGTCTCCTTCTGTTGCCCAGGCTGGAGTGCAGTGGCTCAATATCGGCTCACTGCAACCTCTGCCTCCTAGGTTCAAGCCATTCTCCTGCCTCAGCCCCCTGAGTAGCTGGGATTACAGGTGCCTGCCATCATGCCCAGCTAAGTTTTGTATTTTTAGTAGAGACAGGGTTTCATCATGTTGGCCCAGCTGGTCTTGAACTCCTGACCCCAGGTGATCCACCCACCTCGGCCTCCCAAAGTGCTGGGATTACAGGCGTGAGCCACCACGCCCAGCCTGTTTTCACTTTCAGACATTTTCTGAAATGAATTCCCTTCTGTGGTCTGACCCAGAGACCCTGGTATTGTTTTTTCTATAATTGTTAAATGATTGGGAATGCAAGAATAGCTTATTAAAATGCTGAGCATTTAAATAGTTTATCTAAAAATTGTTATAAAATATTAGTTACAGAAACCCCAGAACCAGCGATGACTAGTGGTGTGTATAGGCCTCCTGGGGCCAGGTTAACCACAACAAGGAAAACACCACAAGGACCACCAGAAATCTACAGTGATACACAGTTCCCATCCCTGCAGTCAACTGCCAAGCATGTAGAAAGCCGGAAGTAAGTACTATAATTAATTGCATTTTGTTTGGGACTTCTGTTCCTAGGCCAGGGAGTGGGATATAGGGGATGTGCATACCCACCCAAGGGAGAGACTACTCCTTAACTAATAAAGCCTGAGCTTCAGCTGACAGGCAGGTGAGAATCAGGGTGGGACTTCATATGTCCAGAAGGGAGGAAAGGGGGAGGGCAAAGAGCATTGGAGACACTTTGTCTTCTGTCTGCAAAAGTTTATCTTAGCCCTGGTTTATGTTGTTTTATAGCAATGACAAGTTTTAATGTAGTTAAAATTCTTTTATAATTAAGTGGCTTTTGCTCCTTATAATATGGAAACTAGAAATATAAAAGCGCTGTTTAATTGTATTCCCAGTTAATGTGACTATAGACAGAAGATGTTGGCATTTATAAATCTAATATTAAAATAATCTTATTTCAGCAGGTACTTAAAATGAATGCTACCTGGAATTAAATGACTACATATGGCACATCTACATCTTACTTTAGGGACATGAATTTTTTAAAATAAATAAAATGGGAAGAAATGTAAATGACATCAGATGGAAATGTGTTTTTTGGGGTGGCTTTTAGAATAAATCCCAGCCTTTTCACCACTTTGAGAGCACAGCTGGCTTGAATTTAAACCTCCACGTGGACTTGCTCCTCTGCTCTGTCTTAAAAAATGTGTAAGGGACCTTGGGAGGGCAGTGATTCACCACACTCGAGTTTCTTTACCTGATCTAATCAGATCCACTCCCACAAAATCGATGTGAGGAGAAATCATTGACTAATGAGTAGAATTTACTTGAATGAGAAAATTGTTACCCTTGTGCATAAAGAGAGAGATGTATTATCTATTACTTGCTAAAAGTAAGAGTCTTAGGAGGAATGTCATTACACAGCTTTTAACAGTTTTCTTCAAGTTTGTCCTGAAATAGGGTCACAGTTAATACTGTTCAGTAGAAGATAGGACCCTAGAGCTTCAATACAGCGTTCTGTGTTTTCTGTTTGAATTGAAGCCTTAAAATGGTTTGATAAGGATTTTCTATATGCCTCCACTCCTACCCCTCCCCAGGATTCTTCTAAGGGGTGGCTTTTTTTTAAATTCAAGGACGAATATTTTCAAAAACCCTAGTGAAGAAGAAATATTTACTGATTACATTTCTTTTCCCTTAGGGATAAAGAAATGGAGAAGAGCTTTGAAGTAGTAAGACACAAAAATAGAGGTAGGGATGAGGTTTCAAAAAACCAGGCCCTTAAACTTCAGCTAGACAACCAATATGCTGTGCTTGAAAATCAGAAAAGCAGCCACTCACAATACAATTAAGGAATGGGCTTTGCTAACCCTTCTGAGGTAACTAGACTGCAGCTAACCACCACCAACAGCCATTCATCATCTGATCTCTGCTGGATCTACAGACACCGATGCAGACCACTCGATTTCATGACCGGCCCTATTGCACTATGGAAGTTAAAGTGTCACGACTGCTCTATGCATATTGGATTTAGGGGAATTTTCATTGTTACATAAATGTGTGAACTAGTTTCAACAGTGTTCTTTCATATTTACTCTGCAAATACAAAAAACCAAAACCTGCAGCCAGTGGTCATTTCAAAATCTTTTTATGTTCAGATACTGAGCCTTCATAAGGGTTGACTACCTCAGATTTGCTGCACTCATTGTGGACTTCATGTGGATCACAACTTCTGGATAAGAAGATTACAACTATTAAGTGTCGATGTGAACCTTGCAACCAGCTCTACTGGATTCTTATCAGAAATCCTGCATAAAAAGTCAGCCATCTGGGTTCTGATCTGCTGTAAAAGATGAAGATTTAAGTGACCTTAATTAACCTGTCCTGTGCCCTACCCTTAAGGAATACTCTCTGTAGTAGGCTGTTGTTATATTAGACTTCCTGGAACACACTGCTGAAAAGAACTGATGTGTTCAGATCATCTGTGTAGGGCTGTGATTTGTAATTTAAACTAATTGTATTCTGAGGTAACCACAAAATAAATTCAACCAAACTGGGGTCCACCAAGTGGGGGAAGGGGAAGGGAGAGAATAATCTTGGGGGTTTTTTTTTTTTGGTAATTTTTTTATTTGGATAGTGCTTTTTTGTTTTGTTTTTGTTCTGCATTAAGGCCTTTTTTGCTTTGACTTGAAATAAGTTCTTTGACAGAGCATATTGCTTGGTTAATTAAGTAACCTAAAGTATGCATTAGGATTGTGAAATGTCTCGTGAGTATGCCAATCCTGAGGGTGGAACCAAATAGCCTTTGATGAAAAGGGCAGTGGATTCTGGAGGCTCTACTTCAGGTGCTGCTATAATGCCTCATCTAATCAGGACTAAATTGTGTAGGAAACTGCAGTGGGAAGAATATGCTTTCTGCTCAGGCTAAGAGGGTCACTGATCTGTCCTTAGAAATTCAGAGTAACATGAGCAAAACCTCAGCTAAAACCCATTTAAGTGGCATGGATTGTGCATGATCTTTGATAAGAATTCCTCATGTACTTGTGCCTAGTTTTTCAAGGTATTGGCTGTTCTATAGATGCAGTGATTGTCCCAGCTAGCTCTGTTACCAGCCTTTTGGTGTGTCTTTATGTTCATTTGGAGAGTCAGGGCGAAAGACAGGTGATGTAGCACTTCTGTTTTTAATAATTATTGCTTAAAATACCTATTAATAGTTTTGGGTCATTTAAAGGGACTTGAGGAAGCTACCCAGGATTACAGAAGAGTGTCCACCTAACAAGATGGTCTGGCAGTTTCCTAGTTTTGTATCTGGTTCAATAGAAATATGTGAAAGTGGTAATGTCATCATTTGATGCAGAGTCCGGGTTTCTCTATAATAAATCCCTTTGCCAAATGCATGAGTTGCAGACTTGCTACTGGCAAGAGTGAAGCAAGTGGGTGAGTAAAACTATTTTGACGTGGGAGCGTTTTCAGATAGGAGTTTAGTCTTGACGAAAGTGTCCGTGCAGGAATTGGACTCCGAGGAGGGTTACAGTATCTCCTGACGGGACCTGCCACTCGCATCTGGGCAATGTTGACATTTGAGGTGGCAGGCAGGATGCCTGCCTTCTAATATATTTGGGTGAGTAACTGAGCCAGCCAAGGGAAGGTTGAATGATTAAATCAGAAATGGGATTCTTGGTAAACTGAAGACTTTTATTTGGGAATGAAAAACCTTAAAAAAATCTCTTCATCGTTGAACTGTGCATTTTCCCTGCATTTTTTCCCAACAAAATTTTGTTGGGGGTTATGTTACTGAAGAATGAACAGATGAGTAAGTGGAGGTGTTATGTAAAGGCATATTGTACTCGAAATCTGAAGACCTGCAGCAGATTTAAATTACAACTCTTGTTATAACTTTTTAAAAGATTGTGAAAATATCAAAATATAAATGAATCAAGTTTTAATATACTGTATGATGGGTGGATGAGGCTGTCCATTGTACCATTTGTTTGAATTCTCAGGCATGGTTTGGCAGTGCAAGAATTCTGTAACATTAACAAATTCAATAAAAAGTAAATATATGGATTTTGGACTGTAATGGTTATTTTAAAGCCTTATTCTGTCTTTGAAAATGGTGAGTTGAGGTCACACCTCTCTTGCTGTGGGAAGGTGAAGATGCTCTAAACTCAGGGGTGTACTTTTTTTTTTTTTTGAGACAGTTGCTCTGTCGCCCAGGCTGGAGTGCAGTGATGTGATCTTGGCTCACTGCAACCTCCGCCTCCCTGGTTCAAGCGATTCTCCTGCCTCAGCCTCCTGAATAGCTGGGATTACAGGCGTGCACCACCACACCCAGCTAACTTTTGTATTTTTAGTAGAGACGGGGTTTCACCATGTTGGCCAGGCTGGTCTTGAACTCCTGACCTCGTGTTGCACCTGCCTCGACCTCCCAAAGTGCTGGGATTACAGGCGTGAGCCACCGGGCCTGGCCAGGAGTGTACTTTCTGTTTCAGAAGTGTTTACAGAGTACTCAAGCATAAAAAAGACCGATGAGGATTTAGGCAAACCAAAGACAGTAAAAAAAGAAATAGAAAATTTAAAAAATACAACACGCATGAAAGTGGCTGCAAAGCTGTGACAAATATTTTTGGAAAACTTGAAATACACATTTGTCCTTGTTGCTGTATTAAATTTTGTTACCTTAAACTATGGCAAAGGAATCTAAAATCTTTATATAGACTAAGGATTTAAGGCTTTGTTCGATTAATCTTACAATTCTCAAAAACAGTAATTTTAAATTTCAGGATTTAGTTTGGATTATAGTCCCTCGATTTCTAAATTAGCAAAAGTATATTTCAGTCATTTTGGTAGTGGAGTTTAAATATGTAATGTTAACAATTTACTATTTGATTATTCTTTGTGCTTGATTGAGATCTTTTTTTTTTTTGACAACCTTATTTAAGATAGAACACACACACAAACTCACACTCTATCAGTCTTCCCTGCTTTAATTTCTTCTATAGTTTTAACTTTTTAGATAAAAGTCACTCTTTTCAAAAAGAAAAAAAGAGACAGGGTCTTGTGCTGGAGTGCAGTGGCGCAATCATAGTCCCCTGCAGCCTTTAACTCCTGGGATCAAGGAATCCTCCCGCTTCAGCCTGCTGAGTAGCTGGGATTAATGTGTGTGCTACCAAGCACTATTTTGTTTTTTAAGAGATGGGGTCTTGCTATGTTGCCCAGGCTGTTCTCAAGCTTCCTGGTCTCAAGCAGTCCTCCTCTGCGTCCCAAAGTGCTGGAATGTTTTACAGCCACTTTGGGAGCCACTACACCTGGCCAAAAGTCACCTTTTGAAGTGTACAATTTAAGAATTTCTTATATTCTCAAAGTTATGCAACCATCACCACTCTTAAAATTCTTGAACATTTTCATCACCCCAAAAAGAAATTCTATTGTTATTAGTCATCATTTTCTTCTTTCCTCCCAAATTCCTCAGTCCTAGGCAGCCACTATTGTATTGTCTCTAGTTTCTTTTTTCTGTTTTTTTTTTTTTTTTTTTTTTGAGACAGTCTTGCTGTCACCCAGGCTGGAGTGCAGTGGCACATTGTCAGCTCAATGCACCCTCCGCCTCCCGGATTCAAGTGATTCTCCTGCCTCAGCCTCCCCGAGTAGCTGGGATTACAGGCACCCACCACCACGACTGGCTAATTTTTGAATTTTTAATAGAGATGGGGTTTCACCATATTGGCCAGGCTGGTCTCAAACTCCAGACCTCAGGTGATCCACCCGCTTTGGCCTCCCAAAGTGCTGGGATTACAGCTGCATGAGCCACCGTGCCCGGCCTAGATTTTCTCATTCTGGTCATTTCATATAAACAGGGTTATACAATTTGTTTTTCAGAGACTGGCTTCTACACTTGTTTTTGAGCATGTTTTTGAGGCTTAGCATGTATCAGTGCTTCGTTTTTATTGCTAAACAATATAGGTAATTGTATGGGTATACCACGTTTAAATTGTACATTCATCTGTTGGACATTGGGGTTGTTTCATTATTATGAATGATGTTGCTATGAACTTTCATGTACAAGTTTTTGTATCAACATTTCCAATTCTCTTGGGTATATACTTAGAGATGAAAGGCTGTATCACTTTGAGGAACTGCCAAACTCTTCTAAAGTAGCCTCACCATATTATATATTACTATTCCCACCAGCAGTGTCAGAGGATTCCAGTTTCTCCAATATCCTTGTGATCACTTGTTTCAGATTGGTTCTAGTCTTCCGAGTGGGTGTGAAGTATCTCATTATGGTTTTATTTTGCATTCCTATAATGACTAGTGATGTTGAGCATCTTTAAATGTGCTTACTGGCCATCTGTATGTCTTTGGAAAAATGTGTATTCAAATCCTCTGCCAATTTCTAAATTGGTTTACTTATAATTTTATTGTTGAGTTGCAAGTGTTTTAAATTTCAGGTGCTACTTCTTTGTCAGATACATGAATTGTAAACATTTTCTCCTACCATTTTTCCCTTTCTTAGAAGTGTCTTTTGGAGTACAAAATTTTCAATTTTGATGAAGTCCACCTTTTCTATTCTTTAGTTGCTTGTGCTTGGGTGTTATATCTAAGAAAACATTGCCTAACCCAAGTCATAAAGATTTATGCCTATTTTCTTCTAAGAGTTTTATGTTTTTAGCTCTTTCATTTAGGTCTTTGGTCTATTTTAATTTTTTTTATTGTGACTTAGGGCTCCAGCTTCATTCTTCTGCATGTGACTACCAGTTGCTCAGCACCAAGACTCATAGTTTTTGGGGGATTTTTTGGTGGTTGTTTTTGAGACAGCATCACCCAGGCTGGAGTGCAGTAGTGTGATCATAGTTCACCGCAGCCTTGGCCTGGGCTCAAATGATCCTCCCCGCCTCAGCCTCTCAAGTAGCTGGGACTAAAATGCGTGCCACCACACCCAGCTAACTTTTTTTATTTTTAGTAGAGATGAGGTCTTGCTATGTTGCCCAAGCTAATCTCAAAACTCCTGAGCTCAGGTTATCCTCCTACCTCAGCCTCGCGAAGTGCTGGGATTACAGGTGTGAACCACCATGCCTGGCTTGTAGTTCTTACTCTTTATTTAGCACACTAAACATTTTGGTTGTTTATCTCCCTCTGTTAGAATGTGAAATTGGTCTGGGGTAGGTACACGTAGGTGGAGATGTCAGGAGGTTAAGAGTGTGGGGTAGGAATTTAGGACAGGTCATGCTATGGGTGTCTAGACTGACAAAGGAACAAATGAGGTCACGATTTCAAGTTAGGGAGTGCAAACAAATTAATGGAGGTAGTCAGATCAGAAGGAGAGCCAAGAAGTTAGAAAGTCATATGGACAGGTGTTCTAATAACTAGCATCCTGAAACTGCAGGTTTGTAATGGTTTTAATTCACCAGTTACTACAACTAGGTACTAATGGGGCCTGCAGAATGCAGGCAAGTTATGAATTGCTTCTCCTGGGCTTGAAATAAAGATAATGAATATTATGAGTGATATATTGAGTAAGAAATAATTGCTTATTTTATCTTTTTGACACAGTTTCACTCTGTCACCCAGGCTGGAGTGCAGTGACACGATCCCAGCTCACCACAACCTCTGCCTCCCAGGTTCAAACAATTCTTATGCCTCAGGCTCCCCAGTAGCTGGGATTACAGGCGCATGCCACCACGCCCGGCTAATTTTTTTTTTTTTTTTTTGTATTAGTGGAGACAGGGTTTCCCCATGTTGTCCAGGCTGGTCTTGAACTTCTGACCTCAAGTAATCTGCCCACCTCGGCCTCCCAAATTGCTGGGATTACAGGTGTGAGCCATCACACCTGGCCTTAGAAATAATTGCTTTAAATAATCTTATTTGTATTATCTAAAATAGGAATTATGTTCACATCAGGAATTTAGGATATACATAAAAGTAATCATTAAGGCAGTTCAATTCTTTTGAATTTGCAGCCCAAGTGGGAACTAGAATTCTAAATAATTGGATATAGTAATACAGACGATGGGTAGGATTTAAGTCATCCACTTTAAAAGTCTTTTTAATCCCTCAACCTAACTGTTCAGGGATCCAGTCAAAGCATGCCCCAAGAAACCTCTGTAAAATGGTTCATCTCCAAATATGATGGAGAGTAGCACCCAGCCTTCGCAATTTTAATCATAAGAAGTGGAGCAACTCTGTAAGATTATGTCCATGGTTCTCAAACTGCTGCATTTTGGAATAACCTGGGAATCATTAAAAAAAAAAAAAAAAAAAAAAAACTCGCTGGGTGCGGTGGCTCACGCCTGTAATCCCTGCACTTTAGGAGGCCGAGGTGGGCGGATCACCTGAGGTCAGGAGTTCAAGACCAGCCTGGCCAACACAGTGAAACCCCATCTCTACTAAAAATACAAAAATTAGCCGGGCACGGTGGTGGACGCCTGTAGTCCCAGCTACTCAGGAGGCTGAGGCAGGAGAATCACTCGAACCCGGGAGGCGGAGCTTGCAGTGAGCCGAGATGGTACCATTGCACTCCAGCCTGGGCTACAGATCAAGACTCCGTCTCAAAAAAAAAAAAAGTGATGCCCGACTCCCACATCCAGACATTCTGAATTAATTAGTATGGAGTGTGACCCGAGCAGAGGAATGTTTTTTCAAGTCCCATAGTTCTAATGTGCAGCAAAATCTGGGAACCACTGGGTTATGTCAAAAAATGATAAATTATTTCCCTAGTAGGCAGTTGGAAGACAACCATAGGGCTAGCTCAAGCAGGAAATCCCTTAAATTGCATGCTTAGACCAGAAATGATTATCATATTCCTAAATGCATTTTTGGATACTGTTAAATGAGGGAAAGTGGATACTGAAGTTGGAGGGAAAGACTTGTCAACTGAAATAGTAAATTTCTTTGATTTTTTACAAAACTACACATTTTTGTAGTTCAGTAGTTATCAGTATATAAAGACCATTTTTAATATCTTATCTGTCATTTCTTAGATAACTGCCTCATCATCAATGTAACTTCTGTAGCTACTCGTTATCCTTCTCCAACAATACTTCCATGATGTTTGACTTGTCTTTTGACAGCAGATCTGACCATTCCTGAGTTTACTCACTGTAAATGTTAATCTGCCTTACACTACCCCTGGCCACTTTAAATTTGCCCTTTCATTATGTTGCTCAGTTATAGCACCTCTGGGTTTTAAGAGTTTCTTTAGAATTCTGCTATTCTTCCTGGTGACTATGAATTCAACCATAATTAACCTTACCAGAGATAAGCTTTGGCAGCCGCAGAATCATATAGCTCATCTATTTAAGAATCAGAACCTCAGGCCAAGTGTAGCTTGTACCACCTACACACTCTGGGTCTGTGACTCACCTTACTCACCAGTTCCTGCCTTTTAAAGATCATGTGGGTTATACTTAAGCATCTTTTCATAATGAGGTGTGGGCACAGACTGGAATCTCTTAGGTTTGTCTTTGGTTTTATTATAAATTGCTGGGACTACTATGGCTTCCTTATTGGATTTCTCTGATTTTACAGTTCAAATGTATGTCTTTAATTAGAACCTGAATTAAACAGGGAAGTCAGGGACTCCCAACCTCAGTGGCACCATGGTAATGGGAGTGAAGAGGAGGTTGCAAGCTCCCATTATATTCTTTTGTTCTGTCCTGACATCCTCTTCTTTTTTTAAAACCTTAGCTCCAGCTGGCAAAAGTGTTAAATCACTTACTGGAATTTTAAAAAATTGTATAGTTTTTAACCTTGAGCCAGGCAACAGGTAACAAATGTTGACTCGTTTAACCCTGAAAGCCCCTTAAAGAGGGGAAAATAGGTTCTGAAAGGTTAAATAGCTTGCTGGAGTCATAGCTAGTAATGAAAGAGCCAGGACTCCAACCCAGGTGTTTTGGCTCCAGCATGTTTTTAACCATGAGGCTTTGCTTCCACTCTTCACCTTAGATTTAAGTAAGGGTAGAGAAGGAACATGATAACCAAATGCTCCTTCGAAATGACTTGAAAATGCTGTTTGCCCTGTTCCCATCCCAAGGTCAGCAGGGATGCATTAGAGCCTGACTTCTTCAGTCTCCCCTCAAAGCAGCAGAAAGTTCTTTTTTTTTTTTTTCTGAGACGGAGTCTCCCTCTGTCGCCCAGGCTGGAGTGCAGTGGCACAATCTCGGCTCACTGCAACCGCCACCTCCCGGGTTCAAGCGATTCTCCTGTCTCAGCCTCCTGAGTAGCTGGGACTACAGACGCCCACCACCACTCCCAGCTAATTTTTGTATTTTTCTCCCAGAGATGAGAGTTCACCACGTTGGCCAGGCTGGTCTCGAACTCCTGACCTCGGCCTCGGCCTCCCAAAGTGCTAGGATTACAGGTGTGAGCCACCACGCCCAGCCAAAACTTGATAATTTTCATTGCAGATTTCCAAATGTTAAACAAGCATGAGATGGCTCTGCTTAATGCTACTACTTGTCATGCCAGACTGCTATTGACTCTAGTGGGGATGGTACCACGTGAGGGAGGCTGAAGAAGAGATGTGGAGCCAGTGAATGAGACATAGGGTTTATTGTGGACTTACATTACACAACAGTCCAGGAGCAGTGGGCTGGACAGGAAAATTGCTCCTTTTTTTTTTTTTTTTTTTTTTTTTTTTTTTTTTTTGAGACGGAGTCTCGCTCTGTCGCCCAGGCGGGAGTGCAGTGGCGCGATCTCGGCTCAGTGCAAGCTCTGCCTCCCAGGTTCACACCATTCTCCTGCCTCAGCCTCCCCAGCAGCTGGGACTACAGGTGCACGCCGCCACACCCAGCTAATTTTTGGGTGTGTGTATTCTTAGTAGAGACGGGGTTTCACCGTGTTAGCCAGGATGGTCTCGATCTCCTGACCTCGTGATCCGCCCGCCTCGGCCTCCCAAAGTGCTGGGACTACAGGCATGAGCCACCGCACCCGGCCAAAAATTGCTACTGTTTTTTAAAAGCATGCAGTCTAACATGTCATTTTCACATAGCAACCTCTACCTAACAACTTCCACTTAACCCAATACAAAGGGCCACCATCCCCTATACAGCCTGCATTCCAAGGAATGGGGCAGGGGTATGGACATCCGTCATTGATGATAAGGAGTCAGTCTCTGGACTGGCCACTCCTGGATTCCTTAACTTGGAACTCCAAACATACATTCTTCTTAGACCACAGGGTCACTTCCCAGGGTATGCCTGAGTTGTTGTCAAGTATGTCTGCCATAGACTGCTACTCAGGATGGTAGAAAAGGAGCTGAGTGGCAGGGCGCGGTGGCTCACACCTGTAATCCCAGCACTTTGAGAGGCTGAGGCGGGCAGATCACTTGAGGTCAGAAGTTTGAGACCAGCCTGGCCAACATGGCGAAACCCCATCTCTACAAAAATAGAAAAGTTAGCTGGGCGTGGTGGCACACGTCTGTAATCCCAGCTACTCAGGAGGCTGAGGCAGGAGCATGGCTTGAACCCAGGAGGCAGAGGTTGCAGTGAGCTGAGATCATGCCACTGTACTCCAGCCTGGGCAACAAGAGCGAGGCTCCGTCTCAAAAGAAAAAAAAAATTGAGCTGGGTGCCTTGCTTGTTGACAGATCTAGATTTTAAAATCTTTTTAGGGATAGAAAATAAGGAACAGTCAACTATGGCCCACTGCTTATTTTTGCATGGCCTCAAGCTAGTAATGATTTTTATGTCTTGAAAGGTCAGAAGGAAACCAAGCCCTGATACAAAGCAGCCTGTATTAAAGCACTTCTAGGTGAGAGGTGTAAATGTGAAATAATAGGTTTGCATTAGAGCAGTGGTTTGTGACTTTTGGGTGGAAAGTCACAGATCCAAACTCTAGAATTATGAACTCTACCCTAAAAATGCTCATATACAAAACAGCCTGTTCCATTCCCAGGCATCTCAGGCCCCAAAGTAAGAACCTTATTACTGTTAATATTGTTACTGGTCTGCTCAGGCTGCCACAAAGGAACATCACAAGCTGAGTGGCTTAAACAGAAATTTATTTTCTCACAGTTCTGGAGATTGGAAATCCAAAATCCAGGAGACGGCCAGGGTTGGTATCTGGTGAGACATTTCTTCCTGGTGTGTAAACAGATAGCTGCCCTCCCCGTGTCCTCACAGGGCTTTTCCTCCGTGCCGGCAAACTCCTGGTGTGCCTCCCTCTTCTTACCAGGACACTAGTCCTGGTGGGTTAGGGACTCATTCTTATGACCTCATTTAATCCCCTTATAAAGGCTCTGTCTACAGTCACATAGCAGGTTAGGCTTTAACCTGTGAATTTTAGGGGGACAAGCTCAGTCCTTAACAGTGTAAATACTAAATCTGAGTATAATTGAGTACTGTATTTACAGTAAGGATTCCTACCTCTTCAAGTGCTAAGGGACCATGTGTTCCAGGTGGTTTGTTGCTGAATCCTAGGCACAGGTTGAGGATTCCTACCTGTTGAATTAACGAATGTTGGTGAGATCAGACTAATGCACAGGAAAATTCGTGGAGGGATATAAGGTGATAATTTAAATATCACAGATTAAAATATCGTAGCCATTCAGAAAAGAAACTCATACTAATCTAATCAAGGCAAGTTCTGCCCCCTCCCCTTTTTAAACAAGAAGACTACCTATGCTTGGAATTATTTGTATATAAGAGGATATTGTTGCTGGCATTAGGACATTTACAGATTAACAGCCAAAGCCAGAGTTCAAGTGGCTTATACAGAGTATGGGCAGATGCTGGAAAGTTAGGAGGAGAAACTGAGACCTGGAGCCTTAAATGGTAAACTGTGTGTCTAAGTTTGAACTGGAAAACCATTCATAATTTTGGCAGAAAAGAAAGTGGTATATTAGGTAATTTAAAAAGTAACTATTTCAAAGAATTTTTTTTTTTTTTTTTTTTGAGATGGAGTCTCACTCTGTCACCCAGGCTAGAGTGCAGTGGTGCGATCTCGGCTCACTGCAACCTCCACCTCCTGGTTCAAGTGATTCTCCTGCCTCAGCCTCCCATGTAGCTGGGATTACAGGCACGTGCCGGCACACCTGGCTAATTTTGGTATTTTTAGTAGAGATGGAGTTTCGTCATGTTGGCCAGGCTGGTCTCGAACTCCTGACCTAAAGTAATCTGCCCACCTTGGCCTCCCAAAGTGCTGGGATTACAAGTGTGAGCCACTGTGCCTGGCCTATTTCAAAGGATTCTGAGTAATAAAATTCAGGGAAACGTACTACAATCTACAAAATGATTCAGCTAAAATAAAATAGCTCTGATAAAGACAGGCCCATGTGGTTTTTGTTTGGTGGGAGGGGGACAGTTTACATCATAATGCTACCTATTTCTCTGTGTAGAATTTGTATTGTCCTAAGCTGTGAACTAGCTCAAAGCTGAAAACCCTGTAGGACCAATCCTCTAGCAGCAGGGATACCCTCAACTCCATTTTGAAGAAAATCTGATGAAAATTTAAGGGATTTTGTGTCCAAGTTGAGCACTCTCTCCTTCACTGTTTGAATCTGCCTTTCAAAAAGTCATTTGGAATTGAACGGTTTACATCAAAATTACATTCCTAACGGATTCTAGTTTGTCCTTAAAATGAAATTAGGTGTATTTATAGAGAATTCTGGTAACGCATGTAGTATTAGGTGTTTAGGTTTAGCATAATAAAGGCTAATGCAATACAGAGTTCCAATAACAGTATGTTTTAATCTAATAGGGCAATATTCTAAATAACAAATATCAGAAATGTTAAGCAATTCATTTATTTTTTTTGAGACAGGGTCTCATTCTGTCACCCAGGCTGGAGTTGCAGTGGCATGATTTCAGCTCACTGCAACCTCTGCCTCCTGAGTTCAAGTAATTCTCATGCCTCAGCCTCCCAAGTAGCTGGGACTACAAGCATCAAACAGCATGCCCGGCTAATTTTTTGCTATTTTTTGCAGAGATGGGGTTTCGCCATGTTGTCCAGGCTGGTCTTGAACTTCTGGGTTCAAGCAGTCCACCCACCTTGGCCTCCCAAAGTGGTGGGATTACAAGCATGAGCCACCGTGCCTGGCCTGCAATTCTTTTTTTTTTTTTTTTTGAGATGGAGTTTCGCTCTTGTTGCCCAGGCTGGAGTGCAATGGCGCGATCTCAGCTCACCGCAACCTCCGCCTCCCGGGTTCAAGCGATTCTCCTGCCTCAGCCTCCTGAGTAGCTGGGATTACAGGCATGTGCCACCACACTGGGCTAATTTTTTGTATTTTTAGTACAGATGAGGTTTCTCCATGTTGGTCAGGCTGGTCTCAAACTCCCGACCTCAGACGATCCGCCTGCCTCAGCCTCCCAAAGTGCTGGGATTACAGGCACGAGCCACCGCACCCAGGCCCCTGCAATTCATTTTTTACGTTACATAAATGTTTTGTTGCTTCAACAGAAGAACAGATGCCAGGGTGCTCTTTTAAAAAATTTATCTATGTAAACACATCTTAATACTAATTTGAGTTACTACTTTTATTCTTTATTGTCACATTTTCCAAGTTTTGCGCATTCAAACTTGGCAAACATCATGGAGATTTGTACAAACATACATATACATATATACACACATATTTATAGCCCCAGCTTCCTCATTAAACCTTGTGCTCAGGCTCCTGTTAAAAGAGGTAAAATGGTGAGAAGATAAAAATCAGGGAAAACATGAATAAATGCTGACTGACAAATCTTGTTGTTATGAATTTGTAAGGCAGACATTTTAAAGCAAAATCCATTACCTTGCTAAAATTTCCACTAAGCTACAGCTTCAGATATTTACAAGAAAAATAAATATCTTTTAACAGACTTCAATGTGGTTTAACAGCAAGCTAGCTGAGGAGTTGTATTTTGTTGTTATTTCAGGTAACTTTTTATTAAGAAACAGTTAATATTTCAGTGATTACAATTTCAGGTGTTCAAAACTCAAGAAGGGTCATCATTATACTCTGAAGCAGAATTCTTCAGGTACTCATCTTTAAATTACTACCCAAATCTATCACAGTCACATTCAGGCTTTCAATTTTTAAAAACATTTAATGTTTGGTAACTAAAGGGTAGATGCGATTAGTGTACTCTAGGTCGTTTGATTTTATTTTTTTCTGTAGGAGCTTTCCTCTTTTGTGATAATCCAGTCCCAAGTTCCTTATTATTCTGAATAAATGAAATAGCTTCTGGTAGACAGTAATTTTCTACATGAGGAGGTGATTCCTATAAAAGGAAAAATAAGTGATTTTTTAAAATGATTTCAAACATTTACGTGATCTGGTAATAGATTTTTTCTTTAAATCTCAGACCTCTCAGGGATGAATCTGACAAACTTAAAGGAAAACGCATATTCATTCCTAGGTTCCAGCAAATTAAACAAAATGGACCCTGTGGGACAAAGTCTCACCTTTTATCAAAGAAATACGTGTATGGTTCAGGTAGAGTGGGACTAGCTCAGATCTTACAAACATTTCATATCGGTGTTTTTAATCCCCATTTTTGAGATAAAATAAAAAAGGTTAAATGAAAACAACCAATGTCACATAACTAGCAGGTAGCAAAGCCAAATTTCATAACTGATCTGACTCCAAAACCCTTGCATTTTCCCCCCACAACCATTTCCCAACATAGAAATGGATCTTTTCCTCCTTATTATAAGTGTAATAAAACTTAATTTTCTAGCAATATGGCAGACTGGGCAACCTGAAAATGAATCACCACAAAATACCAAGTAAGTGCCTTTTGATTCAATTCTTCCATGGATAACAGCTACAAATTCTGACCAAAATATATTAAAAGCAACCATAGAGCCTGGAGAATAAACGAACCAAGCAAATGGGGGGCTGGGGACGCAAACACAGTGTATGAAGTAAACTGCCTGTTAAACAACACAGTACTCTTTGGAGGAGCAAAGGAACAATAGAACCTAGAGTTTCTTTTTTAGGGGGAGATAAGGGTCTTGCTGTGTTGCCCAGGCTGGTGGCTGGTCTCAAAAATGACACATTGAATACAAGGGAACAATTCAAATGACCATCACTGATTTCTCAACAGAAACAATGGAGGCCAGCAGACAGTGAAGTCTTTAATAGAAGAAAAAAACCTGTCAATCTATAATTCTGTATCCTGCAAAACTGTCCTTCAACAATGAAGGTAGAATAGACATTTCATACAACAGAAAGCTAGAATTGATCCCCAATCAACCTGCACTCCAAACTAAAGTTAGTTCTTCAGGCTGAAGGAAAATGTTATCAGATGGAAACTCAGATCTTCAGGGAAAACTGACACTCAAACTGGTATACATGAGGGTAATTATAAAATACCATTTTTTATTTTAGTTTCCTCAAAATGCACAGAATTGTTAAAAGCAAAACCTATTTAAAGTAAAATCTTATTTGGGGCTATAAGATGTAGATGTAAAATATATGACAACTACTGCATAAAGCAGAGGTCAGCACACTTTCTGTAAAGGCTCAGACAGAAACATTTTAGATTTTGTGGGATAGATGATTTGTGCTGAAACTACTTAACTCTGCCATTATAGTGCAAAAGCAGCCATAGAAAATACATAAATGAATGAGTATGGCTGTTTTCCAACAAACCTTTATTTATAAAATAGGCAGTGGGCCAGGTTTGGCCAGGTGGCTATAGTTTACTGACCCCTGGTATAAAGGACAGGGGAAGCAAATGAACCAACTTGGATGCAAGAGATCTACCTTTTTTCATTTTTTTTTTTTTTTTTTTTGAGACAGAGTTTCGCTCTTGTCACCTAGGCTGGAGTGCAGAGGCACGATCTTGGCTCACTGCAGCCTCCGCCTCACAGGTTCAAGTGATTCTCCTGCCTCAGCCTCCCAAGCAGCTGGGATTACAGGTGTGCGCCACGACACCCAGCTAATTTTTGTATTTTTAGTAGAGACACGGTTTCACCATATTGGCCAGGCTGGTCTCGAAATCCTGACCTCAGGTGATCTGCCCACCTTGGCCTCCCAAAGTGCTGGGATTACAGGCGTGAGCCACCATGCCCGGCCTCAGGAAGTAATTTGTAATCTACATATAAACACTTCTCCCTCCAAAAGGTAAATATATTTTTGCTTTAGAAGGCCAATGGATAAAATAAAATTCTAAAAATATTAAACTAATACAAAAAAAGCCAAGAAAGACAAAGAAGAACAAGGACAAAGAACAAATAGAAAACAAACAGCAAAAAACCCCATCCCTAAATCCAATCATATCAATAATTACATGATGGACTAAACACTCCAAAGAAAAAAAAAGCAAGGCCCAACTATATCCTATCTACAAGAAAGCCATTTTAAATATATGACACAGACAAGTTTAAAATTAAAAACCATGCAAAGAGATATCATGACACAGAGTAAACAGGAAAAGGCTATATTAACCTCAGATAATGTACATTCAAGGCGGAGTAAGCCCAGAGATACGTGTTATAACAAAGGATCAATATGTGAAAATCAAAGAAATTATATATGGGTAAACAACTAGCAACAAAGTTTGAAATAAATGGGGTAAAAGCTGACAAAATTAAAGAGAAAAAACAGACAATTCCACAAACAGCTGGAGATTTTAGTATCAGTAATTGATATAACTAAACAAACAAAAAAACCCACATACACAGAAAATCTGATCAACATTATCAACCATATTAACCTATTTGATATTTTTAGAACACAACACCCAACAGCTGCAGAATATAAAATCTTTCACATATATGATATGTTCATTAAGATAGATGAAGCTGGGTGATAAAACAAGTCTCAATAACTTTAAAAGAATTAAAATTATAGAGTATTTTCTGTGATTACAATGGAATTCAATGGGCAATCACAAATTAAAAAGATAGAAAAAAAAATCCTCTTATATTTAGGAACTAAACAACAGACTCCTAAATAAGCCAGTTATAAATGAACACAAGTTGACAATATCAGGAATAAACTTATTTATTTATTTATTTATTTATTTATTTTGAAACGGAGTCTTGCTCTGTTGCCCAAGCTGGAGTGCAGTGGCGTGATCTCGTCTCACTGCAACCTCTGCCTCCCAGGTTCAAGCGATTCTCCTGCCTCAGCCTCCCGAGTGGCTGGGACTACAGGCACACGCCACCACACCCCGCTAATTTTTTTGTATTTTTAGTAGAGACAGGGTTTCGCTATGTTGGCCAGGCTGGTCTCGAACCCCTGACCTCAAGTGATCTGCCCACCTCAGCCTCCTAAACTGTTGAGATTACAGGCGTGTGCTACCGTGCCCAGCCAGGAATAAACTTATTACACTAAAAGGATAATAAGAATATTATGAAGAACTTTATGCCAACAAATTTGATAAGATGAAATGGATATATTATTTGAAAAACACCAGTTATTAAAAACTGACATAAAATGAAACAGAAAATAGGAAAAGCGCTGTATCTAGTAAAGAAAATTCGTTACAAAAAACCACATATAAAGAAAACTCCAGGCCGGGTGCAGTGGCTCACGCCTGTAATCTCAGCACTTTGGGAGGCCAAGGTGGGCGGATCACCTGAGGTCAGCCTCAGGTCAGCCTGGACAACATGGTTAAAACCCCGTTTCTACTAAAAATACAAAAATTAGCCAGGTGTGTTGGCTCATGCCTGTAATCCCAGCTACTTGGGAGACTGAGGCAGGAGAATCACTTGAACCTAGGAGGTGGAGGTTGCAGTGAGCTGATATTGCCCCACTGCACTCCAGGCTGGGCGACAGAGCAAGACTCCATCTAAAAAATAAAAATACAAAAAAAGAAAACTCCAGTCCAGGTGGCTCATGCCTATAATCCTAGGACTTTGGGAAGCCGTGGGGATCACTTAAGCCCAGCATGGTGAAACCCCGTCTCTACCAAAAATACAAAAATTAGCTAAGACTGGTGGCGTGCGCTTGTAGTCCCAGCTACCCAGGAGGCTGAGGTGGAAGGATCATTTGAGCACAGGAAGTGGAGATTGCAGTGAGCTGAGATCAAGCCATTGCACTCCAGTGTGGGCAACAGAGCCAGACCGTGTCTCAAAAAAAAAAAAAAGAAAACTCCAGACCTTCAAACATTCAAGGAAGAAAGAGGCATCTTACACAAACTCTTCGAGAAAATCAAGGGAGAACTTCCCAACTTGTTTGTGATGCCAGCAAAACGCTAATACCAAAAGATGACAAAAACATTACAAAACAATGAGAATTACATACCAATATCCCACCCTGAAAACAATTTTAAAAATTTTTACTCAACTAAATCTAGCAATATATACAAAGATTAATATGGCGTGATCAAGTGGGACTGATACATGAAACTTAACATTTGAAAATGTAATTCCCCATAGTAATAGAAGGAAAGAGAAAAACCTTATAACAACTCCAACAGAAGTAGAAAAAGACATTTTATAAAAGTTAACCCCAATTAATGATGAAAAAGAAATCTTAGTAAACTAGGAATAAAAGGACTCTTCCTCAATCTGGAAAAAAAAATCTATGAAGACCCTATAGCTGGTGAAATATTGAACACTTTCCACCTAGGCTAGGGAATAAAGACAAGGAGGCCCAATCTCACCACTTCTATTCAGCAGCATACTTGAGGTCCTAGCCACATAAGACAACAAGAAATAAAAGGCATAAAGAAGGGAAAATCTACAAATCTCTTTGCAGATAAAATGATTGCTTATGTAGGAAAGCCTAAGGTACTAATTGTACTAAGTGAATTTTATTAAGATCATAGGGTATAAAAGACTGACAGGCAAGGCACAGTGGCTCACACCTGTAATCCCAGTACTTTGGGAGGCCGAGGCAGGTGGATTGCTTGAGACCAGCCTGGGCAACCTGGTGAAACCCTATCTCTACCCCTTCCCCTTGCCAAAAAAAAAATTAGCTGGGCATGGTGGCACATGGCTGTAGTCCTAGCTACTTGGGAGGCTGAGGTGGATCTCCTGGGCCTGGGAGGCAGAGGTTGCAGTAAGCCAAGATCACGCCACTGCACTCCAGCCTGGGCAACAGAGTGAGACCTTGCCTCAAAATAAATAAATAATAATATACAAAATTTATATTCTTTTGGATTGGCAGCAAATTGTAGAAAAAAATCTAAATGTAAATCTAGAAATTTTTATTTACAATAGCATCACAAAATAGGAATAAATTTAACAAAAGATAGGTAAGTTCCCTTACTGAAAAACCACAAAATGTTGCTGAGAGAAATTAAAGAAGACCTAAATAGAGACATTCTAGGTTTATGGAATAGAATGCTCAACACTGTAAAGATGTTTACTGTCCTCAAGTTGGTCTATAGAGTCAGTGCAATCCTAATCTTAACCACTCTAGGCCTTTTTTTTTTTTTTTTTTTTGTAGAAACTAACAAGCTGAGTCTAAAGTCCATATGGAAATGCAAAGGACATGGAACAGCTAAATAACCTTGAAAAAGACAACTAAAATTGTAGTCTTAATACTAGCTTCAAAAGTTGCTGTACAGCTACAGTAATCAAGACACAGTAGGAAAGGTATCAACAAGTAGATAATGAAACAGAATAGAGACTCACAAAAATACGATCATTTGATTTTTTATCAAGATGCCAAAGCTTTTGTGGGAAAGGAAAATCTGTTCAACAAATGGTGCTAGAACACCTAGATATCTATATGGAAAAAAACCAGCCCTAGTCCATACCTCAGAGCATTAAGAAAAATTAATTTGTAATAGGTCATAGAGCTAAACATAAAAGCTAAAACAATAACTTTTTAGAAAAAAATATTAAATACACACACACACACCAACAAACAAACAAACAAACAAAGAGACCATGAAAGAAAAAGTGCTCGATGTCATTAGTCATCAGGGAAATACAAATTACAAACACTCTGTACAAATTACAATGTGCTCCCACTATAAACCTACCGCATGGCTAAAAATCAAATGACTGCCAACACTAAATGTTGGCAAAATATGGAATAACCAGAAGGCTTACACAGATTGAGTATCCCTTATCTGAAGTGCTTAGAATCAGAAGTATTTCAGATTTTGGAATATTTATATTTACTGGTTGAGCAACCGAAACCCAGAAATCAGAAATGTTTACGATTTTGTACCATTTCTAACTTTTGGATTTGGGATGCTCAATCTGTATATTATTGGTGGAAAGTGTAAAATGGTAAAAATCCCTGTATATTTTTAGTAGCTTTACTAATGATAACCAAGATGACAAACAGCTACTAAAAATATACAGGCTTTTTTATGGACATATTTTTTCATTTTTCCTGGGTAAATAGGACAGAATTGCTGTGTAATAGAATAAGTAAATATTTCGTTTTTTAAGAAGCTGCCAGGCCTTTTGTCAAAGGGATTTTTACCATTTTACACTTCCCACCAATAATGTACAGATTGAGCATCTCAAATCCAAAAGTTAGAAATGGTACAAAATCCTAAACTTTCGAGCACTTATGTGATGCTCAAGGGAAGTGCTTATTGGAACATTTCTGATTCCAGGAGTCCAAGGGTCCATCAATAGGAAAATGAATCAACTATGGTATATTCAGACAAAGAAATACTACTCAGCAATAAAAAGGAATGAACTACTGGTATACACTACAACTTGAATGAATGTCAAAAACATCACGTTGAGTGAAAACCTTAGATAAAATCGTGGATACTAATCAGTATGCCCTCTGCTCTATAACGGCTTCACATTTGTGTTTTAGGCATTCTATTAAATCCTGAGCAATCTCCAAGCACAGCAGCAAAATCACAAAGCTGACTTTGAGTGTTGGCCTCCCCTTATTTCTGTATCATCCCAGTTGAAATCCTTCATAGATTATGATTATGAAATCTAATCCTTATGATTATGTGTCATGCCTGCTGACTCCTGATGGCCTTTTGGGCACTCTGGTGTCAGAAGATTTTTCTTACCCCATTCAAATTACACAACACAGGCCAATTCTGAATATGAGAGTAGTAAGCCCACCATATAGCAAATGCTTAAATTTACCACAGTGTCTAACATAGGTATTTAATGTACATGAAAGCAAACAGTCAAGAAAACTAAAGGACCTTTGGATAAATGTTTCTCCTTGGACTCCTGGAATCGATTTCTGCTTTATATTCCAACATTTTAAAGGGTATTTTTAAAGCCTTTAGAGGTACCTAGATTTTTATACTCTTCTCATATTTAACTTCCAAGCTAAATGTTTACATAATATGTTCATTATAATAAAAAACACAAATAGAATAAAACTGAAAGGGCTGGAATAGAAGAGAATAACAGGAGACTAATCTTCTACTAATCATGAGCTGAAGGTTTTGTTGTGCAGTTACTTATCTATGCACATAAACGTATCTCTGGTAATGAGGAGGTCAAGGATAGAATCTCACAAACCTGCATGAGATAATCAGCAATGTATTCTGTTCTCAAGCAGTACACGTTCTGGGCAGCAGCTTCTGCTATATTAACTCCTGAGTCATCTGGTTTCAGTTTATTCAAGTCAGAAAAAAGATGTGTGGCCTCTTTAAATAAAGGTACAGAATGACCAGGTAGCACCTAATGAAAAAACAAGGTAGTATCACAATCTACCAGTATTCCAAAGTAGTTCAGCTGTATAATGTGTACTTAAGGATTACCATTTCAAAAAGTAGAGAAAATGAAGAACTCATCATAGCAATCTTGGTTAGATGATTATTCATGTAAAAAGGTCAGTAAATTAATTTGATACAAACCTTTGCTCCTCCTGACTGAAGAAGGCGTTTGAAGCCTGCTTCTCGAGACTGATCCACATGTAAAATAACCTTCCACCCACTAAATGCTCCCTACAAATAAAAAACAATCAGTGGTGAAATCATTTGGAAAATAACAAAATAATACAGATAATGCATGATTTTATCTGTAGACTTAGTTTTGTCAATAAATCTTATAAACTTTACTTTTGCCACAGTATAATTATCTCTGGCCAGAACACTGAAACGTGAATCCATGGTATCTGGCACATAGTAGGCCATCAAGAAATACGTGAGGAATGAAAAACCATTAATGATTAGGTAACATTAAAACAAAGCAGTGTGATTGATGTTTAGTCTTTTCTAGTATTTTTTTCTTTTGATTAATCAAGGGAAGAGCTTCAAGCAGAGCTCCTTAGGTTAGATGAAGCCTGCGTTTCACTTCTCTTAAAAATGTTTACAAACTGGAAACAAAATATTTAGGAAGGGAATAACAACTAACAAAAGCCAGTGGAATTACTCTAAAAGAGAGGGTATCATGGCTAATAAGGATTTGGAGATATCAGAGAACTTAGAATACAACATGAAAGACTATTTAACTCAGGGGTTCTGATAATGGTTTGGCTGTGTCCCCACCCAAAATCTCATCTTGAATTGTAATCCGAATGATAATCTCCAAGTGTTGGGGGAGGGACCTCGTGGGAGGTGATCAGATGGTGGGGGCAGTTCCCTCATGCTGTTCTCCTGATAGTGAGTTCTCAGGAGATCTGATGGTTTTATAAGGGGTTTTTCCCCACTTTGCTCTGCACTTCTCTCTCCTGCCACCATGTGAAGAAGGACGTGTTTGCTTCTTACATGACTGTAAGCTTCCTGAGGCCTCTGTAGCCATGTGGAACTGTGAGTCAATTAAACCTCTTTCCTTTATAAATGACCCAGTCTCAGGTGTTGCTTCATAGCAGCGTGAGAACGAACTAATACAATTAACCTTTTTGTAAGCCATGGATCCCTTTGGCAGTCTGGTCATTAGACTACTCTAAATAATAGCTGTATTGAGATATAATTCCCAAACCTTATGGGTGATTTTTAGAAAATGTTAAAATTAAAATATAAAGGATTACAAAAGGAAGCCATTTTATTGAAAGTTATCAAAATATTAAAAACAAATTTGTTGTGTAATTATAGATGTGCTTTATATTAAAGTAGCAGACAATAACTAATATGGCTTTCAGTGCTTTGACAAAACCTCAGATATGTGGTCTTCTGGCCAAGTGTCTGTGATTTCATATTGTGGGAGCATTCCTTATATCCCTGGGGTTGCAGCTCTCTGTTTGCTGTGGCTGAACCAAAACAGAAAGGACATGCTGATTTCTACAGAAGTTATGATTCCATGAAAGAATCTGAGATGAAGAGTGCTATTATGTTTCAGAGTGCAAAGTGATTTTGGAATATAAAGAATTTCTTTGGACTGAATCATTAATACACAGAAGTTTGTCTTTGACTTGTGTTCCTGAACTATGAAACATGAACATGTGGCCTAATAGTTTCTCTTGATAAATCAACAGTTAACAAATAATATAAATAACTAAAGTACTGATGAACACAAACAGTATTTCAAGATGCTTGCAATTACAATGCAAAACAGAAACATGTGATTTCTGTTAGTGCAAAATTACAGGTACAGTTGATAGTGTTGTGATTTGTTGCCTAGACCTTTCATTAAAGGAAGTGCTAGTTTTCTCAAAGCATGATGTAGGCTGATTAAAATTTAAAAAAAAAAAAAAAAAAGACCGGAAGTGCTAATTTTCAATTAGAGGTTAGTAAAAATAAGGATGTATTTTTCTCCCCATGCAAAGTACATGGCCTTCCCAGATTTGATCTACAAATTCCTTTGAGAAGGTCTGTGGACTCAGGTCAAGAACCCCTGACATTAGATGCTGAAAAGATTCTTTGGAAGAAATGCAATATGGGCCACATTTTACATATATAAATTATTTTTAAAAGAGCCATCAAAAATTTGGGGAAAAAAGACAAGTAGAATCATTATTTCCTGAAGCACATTCTCTTTTAAAAAAAATGTGAAAGAGTCACAATATTGAATGCTATTTGTATTACCTATATAATTGTGTTTTAATACCTCAACAATGCCAGATTCTTGTCTTTGCTGGATTTTTTTTCTCCATCTCATTGCTGCAAGTGCTAGTCTTCGTTGCTGTACATTGATTCCAGTCAGAACATCAAGTATGGAACTACTTCCCCATTCATAGTCTTCTTCCTAGAGAATTTGTCCAACAAACCTGAGTTGTTACAGTCTGGGGAGCCACTGTGCAACATACAGGGCTCCTCAAGGAGCCCAAAGTCTAATAACTGTTAAAGCTATACATTTAATTGTTACAAATACAGACAGTACTAAGTAAATATTGTTTTATGAGCATGGAGGAAATGTAGATTAGTTTCATATAAGAGTCAAGTATATTTGGCTTTTAATTAGAAATCAGAAAAATACCACATACATTTTTAAGAAACAAAATGATAGCTATATCTTGGCAACTGGTAATATTCAGATGGACAAATTTCACCTGCTGTAAGACTAACTTCATGAAAGGACACAGTCTCAGAGGAGGTATGTACTGATAACTTGATTATCTGTCTATGTAGTAAAGATGAAAGCTTACAATGAGATAATCTTGAAACTTTCTAAGAAAATGTTATTTCAATTAAAAACAACACTAACATTCAAATTAAATCATTTAAAAAGTGATTAAAGGTGAACCTGGCTCTGCGAAGTTTCGTTGTTTGGCTTTGTTATTGAAAAAGCTGGTATACTCTAACTGGCCATATTTGGTTATTTCAATTTTATGAGCAGTCAGCAAATGTGATGAAATCTGAGATTTACTTTTTTAAGTAAATAAATAAATTTGTCTGTTTCTTCCTTTAGAGACAGGGTCTTGATTTGACCTCCTGGGCTCAAGCAATCCTCCCACTTCAGCCTCCTAGGTAGCTGGGACTACAGATGGGAACCACCATGCCCAGCTAACTGTTTTTATTTTTTCTAGAGATGGAGTCTTGCTATGTTTCCCAGGCTGGTCTTGAACTCCTAGGTTCAAGCCATCCTCCTGCCTTGGCCTCCCAAAGTGCTGAAAGTGGCATGAGCCAGCCACTGCCAGCCAACACTTACTTTTTTTTTTTTTTTAGATAGGGTCTCACTCTTGTGGCCCAGGCTGGAGTACAATGGCATGATCTCGGCTCACTGCAACCTCTGCCTTCTGGGTTCAAGTGATTCTCCTGCCTCAGCCTCCTGAGTAACTGGGATTACAGGCACTCACCACCATGCCTGGCTAATCTTTGTAGTTTTAGTAGAGAGGGTTTCACCATGTTGGCCAGGCATGTCTCGAACTCCTGATCTCAGGTGATCCACCCACCTCGGCCTCCCAAAGTGCTAGGATAACAGGTGTGAGCCACTGCACCCGGTGGACACTTGCTTTTAAAGAAAAATAAACTTCCACAAATCTGAATACACACCTGCACGAAGTGTCCAGCAGTCCTGCAGGCTTCAAGGTAGGAGCGATGAAGCACCCACTTCCCAGCTGCCACTGAGGCTAAATACTTCTCGTTTCGAAGTGGATGTCCCACAACAATGTGTGTACAGGTGGGATCAAAGCACTGCTTTTCTATCACCAATCCACCTTAAGCAGAGAAAAATGGATTGTACTTTATTGATTCCCAACTTCTTTCTAGGAAAAATGTAATCTCAACTACGCATAGAAATTATTTATAAATAAAATGCCCCAAACCATTTAAACCAAAAAAACTTGACTTACTTAGAATTATTTTACTTTATATACATATATATATGTATTAAAATGTTTATTATGAACATTTTAAATACAAAAGTAAATAAAATAGTAAAATGAACCCCCACACATATACTAGCTACCTATATTCTAAAATTATCCAAATTCTGCCACCTTTTTTTGCTTAACTACTTAATTTTATTCTGTTTTAATTTTAATTTTTTTGAGACAGGTTCTCACTCTGTCACCCAGACTGGAGTGCAGTGGCATGATCTTGGCTCACCACAACCTCCAGCTCAAGCGATTCTCCTCCCTCAGCCTCGCAAGTAGCTGGGATTACAGGCACACACCACTATGGCCTGGCTAATTTTTGTATTTTTAGTAAACACAGGGTTTCACCATGTTGGCCAGGCTGGTCTTGAACTCCTGACCTCAAATGATCCACCTGCCTCAGCCTCCCGAAGTGCTGGGATTACAGGCGTGAGCCACCATGCCTGGTCCTGCTTAACTATTTTAAAGCAAATTCTAGATACCATGTTACTGACCCCTAAGTATTTCAGTATGCATCTCTAGAATATATGGAAATTTTCTTAAACAGCCATAATGCCATTATCAGATCTAATAGGATTAACAAAGATTCTTTGCTGTCTCAGTACTAAATCCTTGTTCAATTTTTCCTGTTTGTCTTCACTTGGATTGTTATAATTAGGATACAAAAAGAAATAGAACATAAACATGAGCCACACGCTGTAGTTGGTTATGTCTCTTAAGTCTCAATTACAAAAGCAGTTTTCAAGCACCGAATATGGGTAACCAGGGAGATGGAAGTAAGATAGGGGCATCTGCAGACTTTAAAACAGGAGGAAATTTTTTATGAGTGGAAATAATGTCGGCAGACCAACAGAGAAGCTTGGGAAGAAAACACACACAGATAAATAAGAGATGAAGCAGCAGGTGGGAAAAAGCAATAATTGAACCTCTTCTCAGATATAAATGCATGAAGCCTGACTTTGAGGAAAGAAGAAGGCATAAGTAAACATAAGCTTATGTAAAGCATGGCTGTTGATTTATAGCTTAGAGGTTAACTTGACCACTGGTTGGGCAGAGTTAGTTATATCAAGGACTTTTTTTTTTTTTTTTTTTGAGACGGAGTCTCACTCTGTCACCCAGGCTGGAGTGCAGGAGTGCAGTGGCGCGATCTCGACTCACTGCAACCTCTGCTTCCCGGGTTCAAGCAATTCTCTGCCTCAGCCTTCTGAGTAGCTGGGATTACAGGTGCCCGCCACCACACCTGGCTAATTTTTGTATTTTTAGTAGAGACGGGGTTTCACCATGTTTGCCAGGCTGGTCTTGAACTCCTGACCTCATGATCTGCCCACCTCAGCCTCTCAAAGTTCTGGGATTACAGGTGTGAGCCACCACACCCGGTCATATCAAGGACTTTCTAAGATTTTAACAAAACATTCAAACTCATGATTTAAGATGACTCTAATAATAATAGCAGCAACACCTTCTGAGCATTTATTTTATGCCAGGAACTACTTAAAGTGCTCCAGATTACTAACTCATTTAATTCTCACAACCATATGAAGGAAGGTTACTATTATTATCTGCATTTATGCACATGAAAACTGGTAGAGCACCTTACTCAGGATCACAGAGTGACAAAAAGACAAGAAGGTAAAATTCCATATTAATATATAAACATCAATTTCCAATTCTACATAACAAACTTATTCTGCGACCCAGACAACATAATAGACTGATTTATATACATATATATCAGTTGGCCACAGTTGCTTCATTTATAAAATGAAGGATTGGGCATAATATCTATTATAATGTCTCTTTGCATTCTAATATTGGAAAACCTCTAGAGTTACAAGACTCTGAATTCCAACATAATCTGTACTCATCTGCCTCTGCTTCCTGCCCTCTTCTAGATCAATTCTCTGCTAATTGCTGTCACTCTTCCCCAAAGTTTGCAGAGATGGAAAAATCTATAGGAGACTGACACTTGAAGCCTTTCATTTTCATGAGTTCTGGGTAAAGCTTAGCAATTCTGACTTATAACCTCACCTAAGTTATCAGGGAACTGGGAAACAAAGTGTTTTGTATGAGTAAAGTTTCTAAGAAGAAACAGTTTTTCCACACCGGGGCCTGTCCTGGGGTGGGGGGAGGGGGGAGGGATAGCATTAGGAGATATACCTAATGAAAATGACAAGTTAATGGGAGCAGCACACCAACATGGCACATGGATACAAATGTAACAAACCTGTAGGTTGTGCACATGTACCTTAGAACTTAGAGTATAATAATAATAATAAAAAAATAAAAAAAAATAAAGCTGTGAGCTTCACCCGCAAAAAAAAGAGAAAGTTTTTCCAAGTATACAACTGTATTTGACATAAATCTTTTTTTTTTTTTTAAAGCATATCATAGTTTTCCACATTCTTAAAAAGACAGCATTAAATAACATTTAATCTTTTCCTGATACTTCAGGGCCACTATTAAGAACCATTATTTTGGCCAGGTGCGGTGGCTCATGCCTGTAATCCCAGCACTTTGGGAGGCCAAGGTAGGTGGATCATCTGAGGTCAGCAGTTCGAGACCAGCCTGGCCAACATGGTGAAACCCTGTCTTTACTAAAAATACAAAAATACAAAATTAGCCAGGCGTGGTGGCGCACACCTGTAATCCCAGTTACTTGGGAAGCTGAGGCAGAAGAATTGCTTGAGCCCAGGAGGCAGAGGTTGCAGTGAGCTGAGATTGTGCCATGGCACTCAAGCCTGGGAGACAGAGCAAGACTCTGTCTCAAAACAAAAACAAAAAAACCCCACCAATATTTCTTAATGTTTTCTCTTTCCATGCTGAGCTGCCAGATTAACTTCTCTTACTATAGTTTTCCTAACTCTATAGAGCTTTGTTCAACAGAGTAGCCACTAGACATCTGTGGCTATCAAACACCTGAAGCACAGTTAGTCCAAATTGAGATGTGCTGTAAGTTAAATAAACACTAGATTTTTACTTTATATAAAAAAAAACTCACTGATATTTTATCTGATCACATATTGAATGATAAATATATGTTTAAAGTTCATTTCACTTGTTTCATTTTACTTTTTATTTTTGAGATGGGGTCTCACTATGTTGCCAGGCTGGTCTTGAATTCCTAGGCTCAAGCAATCCTCCTACCTCAGCCCCCCAAAGTCTGGGATTACAGGTGTGAGCCAATGCACCCAGCCTCTTTTTAGTTTTTAAAATGCAGCTACTAGAGAATTTAAAATGACCTATGTGGTTCACATTCTGTTTCTATTGGACAGTGCTGCTCTAGTATACCAGATTGCTCTTTTACTATGCTGCTTCTAGAATGATGTCAGGTGGAGAGCCTGACAACCAGTGGAATAAGAATAATGTTACATAAGAAGGAGCTCTCTTCCACACTGAATTCTTTCTTTTCCCTTTTTTTTTTTTTTTGAGACAGAGTCTTGCTTTGTCACCCAGCCTGGAGTACAGTGGCGCTATCTTGGCTCATTGCAACCTCCGCCTCCCAGGTTCAAGCGATTCTCTTGCCTCAGCCTCCTGAGTAACTAGGATCACAGGCATGTGCCTCTACGTCTCGCAAATTTTTTTGTATTTTTAGTAGAGACAGGGTTTCACCATGTTGGCCAGCCTAGTCTTAAACTCCTGACCCCAGGTGATCCGCCCACCTCAGCCTCCCAAAGTGCTGAGATTACAGGCACGAGCCACCGTGCCTGGCCTCCACACTGTTTCTAACTGGAAACAAACAAACAAAAAAACAAGAGGGAGCTCCTCTCTAGATATTATTAACCTTTCAAGTTCATTAAAATGTGGTTTTATTTATATAGTAAGTCTTTAAAGCTTCATTAGTGAATGAATAGTCAAACAGCACAGAAGATTCTTAAACCTCAACTGCTAGATTCCATTTGAATTTTAAATCCCATGATCTACTGACTTTAGAGCTTTTTAAAATCAAAGTTCCAATGCTGACTCAATGTATAGCCTTAGACAAGTTACCCATGTTCTTTTCCTCTACTTCTAGACTTTACAAATGATATTAATATTGACTACATTTGACTTCCAAATATGGTTATTATATGGGACATTTTGGATTTAAGTAAAATACTGGTACCTAGTTTCTCAATCAGATGACAATAGTCAATACGTTCTTGAGGATTCAGAGATGATAACTGAAATATGTACTGTTTTTTTAATTCTTCATGAGTCTCCTCTATCGTTATAATCTGGAATGAAAGTTTTACTTTAGAAAAAATTAACATTAAAAATGATCAGATACACAGTTCTTTTATAGTGGTATTTTACTCAGTCTTCTAAGTTATGAAATATACAAATAATGATACAATGCAAAAAATAGTTTTCAACATTTGATGAAGCCTTGATATTGACATCAACAAATTTCTAATACAGCCTAACAGCAGTATGCAAAAGCTGTATCACCATATTAAGGATCAACAAACCTTTTCTCTAGGGTGCGGAGCCACAGGGGGGTTGGCGAGTGGAAAGGCAATACTGGGGGCTTGAGGCGTAGGGATCAGGTGGCTGTCTTTTATGGGAGTTTCCAGTTCTTCAGAGATTGGGTGTTTGGGAGCTTCAGTCACACGTATGTTTCCAGGATCACAGACAGCTGAGGACAATAAAATGCTGCAGTGTGACAGGATCCAAATAAGACTAAAAACAAATTCTAGGAAATATTCTCATCTGTCTTAGTCAAGATGAAGTCAAGCACAAACTCTGGAATGTAAAAAGTACAGGCAAAAAAGTATCCTATCCCCAGAACTTATAAATAAATGCATCCCATCTGCATGTGACAATAATAACAATAAAGAAAAAATGCAATTTATTAGCATTAAACAGAGCAAGTGTGTTATCTGTGGGCTTCTCCCAACATTTTCCTTAAATACCAAGTTTTCATTGTTAAGTGTAACCCAAATTTGTAACATGAGAGCAATTCTACACTTGGAGAAAAGCAGAAGCAGAGATAAATCTATATATCTAATGGGAGGTCATCATGCAATGTGAAAAAGAAGAAAAGGAAGAAAAAAGATGAGAGATAGGAAAATTTTGTTTTTAAGGTAAAGCTCAAGGAAGAAAAAAAATAGGAGAATTCAGAAAGAAACTCATACAATCCAAAGAACAAATGTAGGTATGTGCTAGGCAGAATTCAAAAGACTTAAATGAAAATAAGATGATAGGAAGAAAAACCAAGCATTAACTCCACAAACACAAAAAGGGTTAGCTAGAATAAAAGAACAATGGTAGACACCATGTCTAGAAAAAAACGCCCAATTCTAAATTTCCAAATTTATGAAAATGTTTTTCAATTTACTGATGAAGTACCTCAATTTACAAATTATTTTTCTGGCTCAAGTTTAAACCAAAACCAGAAATATCTACGAAGTTTTTTTTGTTTGCACATTCAGATCAGAGAACTACAACATGCTCATCTGTTTATTTTTAAGAGGTCAACATGTACTTAATACAAACAAATGCAAAGATTTCTTTCTTGTTACCCTGTTTAGCAATTTCTGAATCATGTAAAGGCTTTTGAAAAGGAGAATCCTCCAAGTTTTGAATGTCAACCTGAAGCTCAGAGTATTGTGTGGGACAACTAGGCCACTGCAAATTGCTGGCAAGCCTTGCTCTCTCCTCCCTTGCTGTAGGGTCATCCCAAATGATCTGTTCATTTTGGGAAGGCTCTGTGTTGACATCAGGTACTGTCTGACGAGACTGCCTAAGGAATAGAAGTGACAGTTTAAATAAACAGCAATAACAAATCCAAACTCATTAAATCCATAAGTTAGACCATAAAAGTTGTGGCTCACCTTTATATGCCCACCATCTAGCACACAGTATGCATTAAAAATATTAAATAAATGAACCTAGGGACATTTTTTTTTTTTAAAAAGGTTTAAGGTTTCTTCCAGAAAAGTTATCTGTTTTAGCTAGGAACACATATTTTGACTACATGTCTACAGAACTAAAACTTCAAAGGAGAAATTCAACAGTGTCAAGAAATTTTTTAAAAATACTAAAGTAATTGGTACATTTAAAAATGTGATTTTCCTTAATTATACAGGTTAGGGAAACAGGGTAATGTTTCAAACACTATGGTTACTTTACTTAACAGTAGTTATATTTTTTAATTACTTGAAATTATAAGCACTATGATTACATGGGAGGCTTGCTGTAAAGGCTGCCTTATCAGAAGGGCCTTTTGGCTATTGGTAACCACTTTCCAGAGTCTACGGTGGAACAGCAATATGCTGAATTACAGGGAAGTGCATTTTATGGTGCGATTGTAATGATTCCACGTGACAGTAAATAGAAGTCCTATAATTTTCTTTATATTCACTCATTCATTCATTCTTAGTAAAAATAATTTACCATAAAACTTACACTGTGGAGAAGCAAAAAAAAAAAAAACAAAAAACAAAAAACAAAACAAAACACCAAAACCCATAAAACAATTTACCAAAGGAACCCCCAAATAGTTCCTTTGCTTCAAAAATAAAGAATATAGCCTTTTATTCTCACACTATATTTATTTACTCTGATTTGGTACAGGATTTAGGTTCTCTATAATGATAAAACATGATCTGAAGCATATTAAAAAGCTACTTTACTCAGTACTGAGATAATGAACTGCCTCATGTAATACAGTTAGCGTAAGATAAATGCTAGTTTATCTTATACTTAATTCAATTAGTCAACTGAAAATACAAGTCCCATAATTCTTATCACACAATTATAGATTTTTTTCTTCTATCACGAAAAAGATGAAGTTATGCAACTGAGCTTAAGTCACATCACACTAGAAACTGTAATCACCTTTTCTAGAAGATAAATTTTACAAGGAGAATACAAAATGCATGCAAAATCCCAACAAAAATAACTTTAAGATTTTACATATTGCATTAGAAAAAGACTCTGAAAAAATATATATGTACTTATTGTTTAATACAAATACTATTGAATACTAATACTAAAGAGCAGAGAGAACTGCCTACTGAATCCATTTCAAATGAGGCAAATTAGATCTTAAAATCATTTCTTTCTCAACGGAGGTAATAAAAAGTATCAATCATGCCTCACTGTGAAGCAGGTGCTGCTGTAAGACAAATCTCCATGTCTGCTCCACCTCCGAGTAAGAAATCTAGAACTGCTGGGAGCAAGAAATGGAAGGACAAGCTAGAACGAAAAATCTAGTCAGCAGAGAGCCAAAAGCAATAGATAATACTGGAATATAATATTTACTGTTTGGGCTAAATAAGGCCTAGGCATATAACCCCTTCACTAGTCTTGATATTTAAATTTCAGCTTTTACTGCATATTGGGGAAAAAAAGAAAAAAAAGCTAAATTAGGCCAAGCTCATGGAATTGAGTCAGCAGCAGGTACGTAAATCCTTTCTCTCAAGTCATCTAGTCTTTCTGCCATCAGTGACAGGTACACACCTCAGTGCCTCTAGGACTCTACTTCGTCCACTGCGAGCAGAGCGAGTGCTGTCAGGGGTTGAAGATGCGCTGTTACAACCACTTCTTGAAAGGGAAGTCCTCTGCCCTTGGGGTTTCACTATTGATGTTGCAGACATTATCTCCTGTAACTGCTTCTGAAAGTTCTCTCTCATCTCTAAGGTCTGTGTCAGAACTTGAAACAAACACAAATACACCATTCAAGGTAAGTTCCTCTTTTTTACCATATCTTACATTAACTATTTTGTTTAGACCTGGTTGAACACAAACTTATTGACTTGACATTTACTGAATATTAACTACAGGCTATAGTAATGTACTAAAACTATGAATACTGCAGAACATAAAAAGCAGCCCTTACCACAAGCACTGTATATGAAATAACTAGGAAGCCCTTCAAATACTTTTTTTTTTTTTTTTTTGGTGATAGTCTAGCACTGTCGCCCAGGCTGGACAGTGGTGCGACCTCGGCTCACTGCAACCTCCACCTCCCAGGTTCAAGCAATTCTCCCTGCCTCAGCCTCTCAAGTAGCTGGGATTACAGGTGCCCATCACCATGCCGGGCTAATTTTTGTATTTTTTAGTAGAGACGCGGTTTCGCCACGTTGGCTAGGCTGGTCTTGAACTCCTGACCTCAGGTGATCTGCCCACCTCAGCCTCCCAAAGTGCTAGGATTACAGGCATGAGCCACCGTGCCTGGCCCCCTTCAAAGACATTTCATCAAGACCTGTAGTGATTATCCCTCTGTAAAGCTCCCTGCCTGCTTCTGACTCTCATGGTATGTACTACACTCTGAGATGTCTTATAGTCATTTGTGTATGTGTCTGATTTTTCCCAAAGATTCTTTTAATTTTTTAGAGACAGAGTCTTGCTCTGTGGCCCAGGCTGGACTGCAGTGGTATGGTCATAGCTCATTATAACCTCTAACTCCTGGGCTCAAGTGATCCTCCAGCCTCAGCAACCTGAGTAGCTGGCACTACAGGTGTACATTACCACGCCCAGCTAATTTTTTAAATTTTTTGTAGAGACAAGGTCTCACTATGTTGCCCAGGCTGATCTGGAACCCCTAGCATCAAGCAATCCTCTTGCCTTTGCCTCCCAAAGCTCTGAGATTACAGGTGTGAGCCACCGTGCCCAGACTCCCCAAAGGCTCTTGAAAACACAGACCACAACATACATCCAGCCCTCCACATCCACCGGTTCTGCATGCATGGATTCAACCAAGTATGGATCAGAAATATTTTAAAGACATAAAAATGAAAAATATCACAATTAAAAGTACCAGTAAAAAAAATAAAATATAACTATTTACAAAACATTTACAGTGCATTAGGTATTATAAGTAATCCAGAGATGATTTAAAGTATACAGGAGGATGTGCATTGGTTAAATTCAAATCCTATGTCATTTTATACATAAGGAACTTAAGCATCTGTGGATTTTGGTACCTGAGGTAAGTCCTCGGAACCACTGCCACATGGATACCAAGGGACAAGACAACTGTATTTACCTTTGGTTTTCTTTAAAGCCTAAACTCTGGAGTAAGTATTAAATAAATGCATTTGGAATGAACAGAGTGAGACTAACCAAATAGGTAAGTCATAGGGAAAGCTTTGGTAGGTTAGAATGAGTAAGGAAAACAGAACATATTAAATCTATTAAAAGACATCCATGTATAAGGTTATTCACTGCAGTACTATTTATAAAAGCAAGAAAGTAGAAATAACCTAAATGCCTATTAAGAATGGATGCCTAAACAAAGTGGGACCATTCATAATGAATACAATACAGTTGCCCAAAAAGAAAGAAAAGGGAAGAAAGAAGGAAAGGGAAAGGAAGGGAAGAGGGAAAGGAGAGGAAGGGGGACAGGAAGGAAAGGGAGGGAAGGAAGGAAGAAAAGCAAGAAAGAAAAAGACTAAAGAAGCTCCTAGTTATCTACTGATATAAAACACTACCCAAGGTAACAAAAAGATCAGCGTATGAAATAGCATGTATAGTAGTCCACCATTTATGTTTTTTTTTTTTTTTTTTTTTGAGACAAGAGTTTTGCTCTTCTTGCCCAGGCTGGAGTGCAATGGCATGATCTCGGCTCACCGCAACCTCCGCCTCCCGAGTTCAAGCGATTCTCCTGCCTCAGCCTCCCGAGTAGCTGGAATTACAGGCATGCAACCACCATGCCCGGCTAATTTTTTGTATTTTTAGTAGAGACGGAGTTTCTCTATGTTGGCCAGGCTGATCTCAAACTCCTGACCTTGGGTGATCTGCCTGCCTCAGCCTCCCAAAGTGCTGGGATTACAGACACGAGCCACCATGCCCAGCCTATGTGTTTGTTTGTTTTTTTTTAATGGGGGAAAAACATATTTACGGCTATATATGCATAAAGCAGCTCTAGAAGGATACATAAGGAACTAATAACACTGGGGGGCTGGAGAATAAGGGTGGAAGAAACTCTTCATATGTCTTTTTGTATCTTTAAAACCATGTGGATATGTTAAAATATATTGTACATATAAGAAAACTTTTTGAAAATCACTCAAAAGAACTGGACCAAAGACTAGATTTTTAAAAAATCACCAACTTCACCTACCTTTAATGGAATAGGGCTGTATCACACTAACTCCATAAAAACCTAGTTTCATAAATTTCATAAGCTTTACACTTAAACTACATAAAACTTTGCAAATTATCACTTAATGATCAGCATGGGACCACAAATCAATCCTCTAATATATGCTTTGCTTGTATTTAGTAATTTAAACATATTTTACAGCTGGGTGCAGTGGCTCACAAGGCAGGAGGATCCTTTCAGCCCAGGAGTTTCAGACCAGTGTGGGCAAGATGACAAGACCCCATCTCCACAAAAAATTGAGACCTTGTCTCAAAAAAAATTTTTTTAATTAAAAAATAAAATATTTTACCTCCTTTAGAGTCATTCTTTCCACTTCCATTTGATGGTGCTGACTCTTTATTATTGGTGGCCATATTGTCTACATCATTTTCTTCTAAAATCAAAGGATCTGGCTATTGAAAAAGAAAAATTATAAATTCTCAAACCAAGCCACTGTATAAGGTTTCATAGCAATATATGATTATACCTTTAGCTTAAGAGGGGGTAAATGTATCATCCATATCTCCTACCTCATCATCCTTTGTTGAAGACACAGCTGAGAGTAGTCGACTATTACAGAGCCGGCCATCTTGCACTGCGCTGATATCCAAGCTCATTTTGGGATTATAAGTATGTGGATAAAGAGATTCAGGAAGATGTTTACACTCTTGGGCACACTGCAATACAATGGTGTGCTTTAAGACAGGACTGACAAAATCTTAATGAATAGATGATGTTAAGTAGGATAAGGACAAGCAATACATTATACTGTAATATGGCAAAAAGTTCACAAAACTGGTTTGAAAAGTAGTTTACACTGAAAAATTTGCATCATACAAATGACAGATTGTCCTCATGTTTTAAATGTCATATCCACTGAAGTATAAAATCTGAAACCATTCCTGTGCTTTTGCAAAGGTATCAATTACCCTCCAGAGAATACCCAGGAAAAAAAAGAAACACAGATCTAAACTCTATTGATATGTTAAATTTTCCCCAAATAATTATAAACTTTCCATTCATATCACATTTTTAATTAGTACAAGGAAATGGAGAATTAGAAAGAGTATCCATTAAAGATTTGTTAAGTATTTAAGGACTAAAGATGTTAAGTTTTTGATGCCAAAGATCTGAAATGTGTACAGTTAACCAAGACTATTAAACTGGCTTCTAGTTCCATTGAGAGTGAAAACTCTTGAGTTAGTGCTCTGAAATAATGTTTGTATACATTTTCAATTAACAGAGATGGGGGGGAAAAAAGCACTGCTTACATCTAAAAGCCAGTGCTCGGAAACAATGTGTACTCCTCTTTCTTTTACAGATTTATACTCCCGATTAGTGTCATTTGGCCGCCCTTGATAGATGAAATGAGTCACTGTTTCATCAAAACTCCACCTGAAATAACCAATACAAAAAAACAAATAACCAAGAGAAACATCCTCATTAGTTTAAGATGATTCTTATTTACTGTGAACAGAATATTCTGACCTTCCCAAAACTTTCGGACTAGAGTAAACAAGACCATTAAAATGACAGGCTCAAGCCAAGTGATACATGCCTATAGTCCCAGCTACCCAGGAGGCTGAGGCAGGAGGACACTTGAGGCCAGGAGTTTGAGGCTGTAGTGTGCTATGATCACCCCTGTGAACAGACACTGCACTTCAGCCCAGGCAACACAGCAAGACCCCGCCTCAAGAAAAAAACAGTTAAAAAAATGATGATAGGCTCTATCTTTTTGGACAAATTTTATGCATATATCTGTAGGTATATAAATACAGAGAGAGGTTTAGAAGAATATCCTTTAAAATATTACTTTCTTCTTTATGCTTTTCTGAATTGTTTCAATTTTCTTTTATAAAGAATATCACTTTTACAGTAACCATAAAGGTATTTCAAATTAATAAATTGCAAAGCATCCAACTTGCCCTCCAGTTGCTGGCAGTCACTATTCATTGTATGCCCCAAAACAGACTATATATATTTTACACATCATTATCTCATCCATTCCTCACAACAATCCTAACACTGGTATTATTACATTAATCTTAAAGATAAAAGAACTAAGGGACATGGTTCAGTACCCTGTTCAAGGATACTCAATGAGTAAATGATAGAGATAACTTTGACTTCAAAAGCCATGCTCTTAACTATTATATTATGCTATGATCTCCCAATTCTTCCTATTCAATATTCTCTCTTTTTTTGAGACAGAGTCTCACTCTGTCACCCAGGCTGGAATGCAGTGGCACAATCTTGGTTCACTGCAATCTCCACCTCCCGGGTTCAAGCAATTCTCCTATCTCAGCCTCCTGAGCAGCTGGGATTATAGGCGTACGCCACCACACCCAGCTAATTTTTGTATTTCTAGTAGAGATGGGTTTTCACCATATTGGGCAGTGGTCTCGAACTCCTGACTTCAAGTGATCCACCCGCCTTGCGCTCCCAAAGTGCTGGGATTACACGCATGAGCCACCGTGCCCGGCCGCTATTCAATATTCTCTTGACCTGGGAAACATCAAGTAAAAACCAAAGGGTAGGTAAAAATTATATTTCTAAATACAATCACCAAAATAAACAGAATTTTATCCTTAGGGACACTTAATATTTTCCATTTTCTAAGTAAGGAATATCTCTGAGCTTTTTAAATAGACAAATGAATTAAGAAGCTGGGTGCAGTGGCAGTGGCTCATGCCTGTAATTCCAGTACTTTGGGAGGCCAAGGCAGGTGGATCACCTGAGGTCGGGAGTTTCAGACCAGTCGACCAACATGGAGAAACCACATCTCTTCTAAAAATACAAAATTAGCCGGGTGTGGTGGCGCATGCCTGTAATACCAGCTACTCAGGAGGCTGAGGCAGGAGAATCGCTTAAACCCAGGAGGTGGAGGTTGTGGTGAGTCGAGATTATGTCACTGCACTCCAGCCTGGGCAACAAGAGCAAAACTCCCTCTCAAAAAAAAAAAAGAATTAAGAAAAAGAAGTAAGAAGTACTATTGCCTCCTAAGTTATATTATAAAAATCTCTATTTCCTACTGACCATGTATCCTAAAACATAACAATAAAAATACACCTTGCCTAATTTGTTAGTTCTCAGAATAACTGTCTCCCTTTCTGCGTAGTGGTATATTATCAAGATAATTCAGAAAAACAGAGGAGTATTTTTGCCTGAATCAATTTGGTTTACCAGTCAACTCCACTATGACAATATGGAAACCATGAGTTTCAGTCTTCAGAGGCCATTCAAGAACAGACTGTCAGTGGTTGTAGATGGTTTACATCAGGGTTTGGCAAATTTTTTCTTAAAAGGCCAGATAGTAAATATTTTAGACTTTGCAGGCCAAACAATCTCTTTTGCAACTGCTCAACTTTTGTCTTGTATGTGAAAGCAGTCATAGGCAATTTGTAAGTGAAAAGGCATTGCTGTATTCCAATAAAACTTTACTTACAAAAACAGATGAACCAGCCCATACACCCTTGGTCTAGATCAGCGGTTTCAGCAAAAGTGTTACTTCAGGGGTTATTTTGGACATTTGTGAGGGTGATTTTGGTTGTTACAATGTGTGTTTGTATGTTGGAGGGTGCTACTAGCATGCAGTGGGTAAGGTACAGGATGCTGGAAATTCTGGGGAACAGTCATACATATAATTATGTCATATCTTGCATGATATTCTAATGTCCCGACAAATTCACGTATGTAAAAAAAAGTTGTTTATAATTAGTTGAGTCTAGAACCTGTTCGACATATAAACAAGTTATTTTTTTGCAGTTTTAATATACACTAATATTACAAAAATGTGACTACTGTATAAATTGATGGAAGACCACTGCTACTCATGGTATCTGAGTCCCCAGATCGGTCTCAGCCTTGGGACTGTTGGATTTGTGGTGCCTTTACATAGGTATACAAACGTATTAATACTCCATTGTTTTCTAGTGTAGTCAGCCTTAGGCATTATACATAACTGAACATATATCTTTTCTATATTATGCACCTTCTATTTCTCCTATGCATCACAGAGTGCTATACTGTCTGCTACTTTTTTAAATTATAAAAGTAGGTAGGTTATATTTATATTCATTTTAATAGAGGGAATGTTACACAAATATTTGTAATAAAATGAAGATGCTGCATCTGATTTGTTGCAAAGATCGGGCCTACATGTTTAACTGTCTGAAGACAGAAGACAGTATCCGATGATCTCTTTGGGACAGTCTGGTCCTAGATGATGGAAGGGAACATTTGGAACAACTTCACTTGAGAACTGCTTTACTCTATGCATATATAAATATCTAACCTCTGCATATTATAAGGCTCTTCCCTTTATCAATTACCAATCCATTTCAGGAAAAGATTTAATATAAACTTTAATGCAATGCAATGGTTAAATTCTGTTTAGGAATTTCAGTAATAAATTCTATTTTTTATACTGAGAGGACTGGCATTTAAAATCATATAAAAACATACATCCTATATGTTCCCTTGAAAGTCTTATATCATGTCTACATCAAAACAGAATAAACAAGGAAACATTCAATTTTGAGGAAAAAAAAATATACACACACCCCTTGTAGGGCTACTATGAGAATGAAACGAGATAATGCTCAGCAACTGGCAATAGGTAACATAATAGGTAATTAGATAATAACAGATAAGATTACCTAACAATTTATAATAGGTAATACAAATATACCGTAGAAGAGCTTCACTATTTCAAATGGATGTACCAAACACTAAGATGCTTATATGTATTACAGATCAATTTTACTCCTATATTTTCCTGTCCTAATTTCTTTATCAAATAGAAAACAAACTGAAATAAGAGTTACCAAAGGGGAAGATGAAACTAATCATATTCCTGCAATGGTTCATCATTTGTTAAACAAATTCTTATGATATCTATGAATGGCTGAACACAAGTTATCAACAAAGCAAGCATTACAGCTAGTGGAGGAGTACAGTCAACTCAGGACTGGCTGAAATAGGTAAGAGATTCTCAATTCTGGATACTGATGCCATTTGTGCTAGAGATCTGTTTTCAGCTTAGGCTGTCAGGTTGACTGAAGAAAAATCTGACAATCTAAGTCTCCAAAGTTTAAAAAAAAAAAAAGATAATGAAAACATGCTCAAAAAAGACTATCTTAATAAAGGAGGGCTGCCAGAGTACTTAGTACTACTCCCAGAGGGCTCTAATCTGAAAAATCACTAGTAAAAATAAACTTAATCTCAGATCCAGATGTATTACTATTAATAGACTCTAAACTCCTTGAACACAGGGATTCTTTTAGACTATACTGATCCTTCATGGATCCCAGGTTTCTAGAATAGTTAGTGGCATAAAATAGGCTCTCCAATATTTGTTGTGCATACCCTAAAAAATATACATTATATACATATAAGAGTGAATTGATATGTGAGAGGCTATTTTCAACAGATGTGGTAAATTAAAAATCAACTGGAGAGATTTTGTAGATAAAGATGCATGAAACAAAATAAATGTATTCTTGTAGATGCTCACAATAGCTTTAGGTTTCCTTATAAATTTCAGTCATATCACCATGAAACAGAAAGATGTGCCAACTACCTGTAATCTGCTCCTAGAGAGGCTGCGATCCCATTTAGTTCACTCTGCTTCTTACTGAGTTTTTTACTAACACATACCACTACTTTGTGAAGTGGCTTTGGGGCTTCTTCCTGTCCATGGAAAATAAAAGAAACAGATCAGTCATTATTGTTTGAAATGTTATCTAAAACTTCCTTTTAATAAGAGAACTAATCCTACCTTCTCTGACTGGGCCTCTTTCAGTTGAGGGCTGGCAGAAAGAGCGACAGCATTTCGAGAGCTATTTGCCAAAGCAAGTTGCAAGTTTTTGACAATAACTTCTGAGAGTGGCGTACTCGGTTTCCTTTTCTGTTGGCTGGGACGTCCTGGAGTTTCCAAGGCTGCAAGTGCATCCTATACATATGAAGGAGAGAGAGAGATGGAGAAAAGAAGAGAGAGAGAGAGAAGCAAGATGGGTTAATAGGACAGGAAAAAGAAAGAGGAGGAGAGAGGGGTAAAGAGAGAGAAGGGGGAGAATCCTCAAAATTAATGGATTACAGTTTAACTTCCTCTAGTTTTCCTCCAAATAACAAGAAAAAGAATAAACTATAATCAAATCCATATACTGTGAACAAAAATTCCATACTGTCCAGCAAATTGGTTCAAAGAGACTAACTAGCTTACATTTTCAGCAGTGCTTGTCTCTTACCTGAATCTTAGAGTTGAATTTGAAAACAAAACAAACCAAAAAAACCCAGAAGGAAACAAATAAGCAACGACGGATATAATCAAGAAATGGATTATAAGGAAGGTTAGAAAGTCAAAATGAGCTGAGAATTAAAAAAAAAAAAATCTTCAAAAGTTCAAAATATATTCCTGTTCTAAAGCCACCAACAGTTCCCTCCTGAAAGGAAGCTACTGTTGTCCAAATGGCTTGCTCATTCTCTTTTGCATGTGTATAGTATTCCATGTATGTATCAGAATGTATTTAACCTGTGTACAACTGATAAGCTTTCGGTTAACAGTCTTTTGCAAGTATAATGATGCAATGAATAACCTTGTACACAAACCATTTTGCACACACAAGAGTAAAGGAAACCTTTTAAGCAAAATGTATCTACCAGCCCAGTGCAGTGGCTCCTGTCAGTAATCTCAGCTACTCCAGAGAAGTTGAAGCAAGAAGACAGCTCAAGACCAGGAGTTTTGAGACGAGTCTGGGAAACACAGTTAGACCCAATTTCTTTTTAAAAAAACTAAAAAAACAAGACCAACATGTATCTACCAATGTTGACATTTTCATGAGCAAAGTATGAGTGTGTGTGTTTTCCAAACGTGCTTGATATCACAGTAATCAGATTTTTCTTTTTTGACAATCTGATAAGACTAAAAAATTTTATCTGTATGCTTTAATTTTCTACTCTTTTATACTGAATGAGGTTAAATATCTTTATATGTGTGTGTGTGTGTATATATATATATATTTTTGAGACGGAGTCTCGCTCTGTCACCCAGGCTGGAGTACAATGGCGCGATCTCGGCTCACTGCAACCTCTGCCTCCTGGGTTCAAGCGATTCTCCTGCCTCAGCCTCCCGAGTAGCTGGGACTACAGGCATGCACCACCATGCCTGGCTAATTTTTCGTATTTTTAGTAGAGACAGGGTTTCACCATGTTGCTCAAGCTGATCTCAAACTCCTGACCTCATCATCCAACCGCCTTTGACTCCCAAAGTGCTGGGATAACAGGCGTGAGCCACCGCGCCTGGCTATATGTATATTTATATCTAATTTTTTGTGATAACTATCTGCTCCTATCCTTTGCCCATTTTTCTACTGGGTTGTTAGTCTTTTTTTTAATATATTCGCTTGTATGAATATACTTTTATATTCATTTGTATGAATTTATATGTGCATGTATCAACTGTGATATAATACCCACGTATTTATTTTCAATTTATCATTTGTCAAATTTTTGCCATGGAGCTTTTTTTTTTTTTCAGAGATGGAGTCCTGCTTTGTCACCCAAGCTGGAGTACAGTGGCATGATTATAGGTCACTGTAACTTCTAACTCCTGGATTCAAGGATCCTCTCACCTCAGCCTCCCAGGTAGCTGGGACTCCAGATGCACAACCCTGTGCTCAGCTAATTTTAAAATTTTTCATAGAGACAGGGTCTTGCCGTCTTTCCCAGGCTGGTCTCAAACTCCTAGGCTCAAGCAATCCTCTCGCCTTGGCCTCCCAAAGTGCTGGGATTACAGGTGTGAGTCACGGTGACTCGCTGTAATTTTTTTGTTTTTTGAGACGGGGTCTTGCTCTCTTGCCCAGAACGGACTGAAGTGGCTCAATCTTAGTTCACTGCAACCTCTGCCTCCAGGGCTCAAGCAATCCTCCCTTGTCAGCTGGGACTATAGGTATGTGCCATCACACCCAGTTAGAGAATTTTTAATGCTGTCAAATTCATACGAATCTTCTATTTCTTTTGGAGTGTATGTTATAGTTAGGCCTTCCCCACACTAGGATTATTTTAGAAACAAATTCATGACATGTTTGGGAATTTTTATGGCTTCATTTCTTATGTTTAAATCTGATCATCTAGGCTGGGTGTGGTTGTTCACGCTTGTAATTCCAACACTTTGGGAGGCCAAGGCAGAACTGCCTGAGCCCAGGAGTTCTAGACCAGCCTGAGCAACATGGTGAGACTCTACCTCTCCAAAAAATACAATTAGCTGGGCACAGTGTCATGTACCTCTAGTCTGAGTTACTCCAGAGGCTGAGGTGGGAGGACTGCTTGAGCCCAGGAGGTCAAAGCTGCAGTGAGCCACGATGATGCCACTGAACTCCAGCCTAAGTGATAAAGTGAGATCCTATTTCAAGAAAAACCCCAAAAGTTGATCATCTAAAAAGTATTCTGATGTAAAGTGTGAGCTTTAATTACAAACGTATTTTCAGATGGCTACCTAATTGTCCAATTTGAATGCCACCTTTATTACATAATAAATTCCCCTATTTGTGGAGTATAATCTTATACACTAACTTGATTATTCACGTGACACCACACTGTTTTAACTACTGCAACTTTATAGGAGGTTTTAATAAACGGTAGGGCTACTGCCTACCTGCAATTATACTTTTCAGATTTTTTTTAATATTGTTTCTGCTTGCATTTTTTTCTAGGACCTACATTACCTTTTGATATGGTTTGGATTTGTGTCCCCACTCAAATCTCATGTTGAACTGTAATCCCCAATGATGGAGGAGGAGCCTGGTGGCAGTTGACTGGATTATGGGGGCGGATTTCCCCCTTGCTGTTCTTGTGATAATGAGTGAGTTCTCATGATATCTGGTTTGAGATGGAGTCTCACTCTGTTGCCCGGGCTGTGGCGCGACCTTGGTGCAATGCAATCTCTGCCTCCTGGTTCAAGTGATTCTCTTGCCTCAGTCTCTCGAGTAGCTGGGATTACAGGCATATGCCATCACACCCGGCTCATTTTTATATTTTTAGTAGAGATGGGGTTTCGCCATATTGGCCAGGCTGGTCTTGAACTCCTGACCTCAGGTGATCCACCCACCTTGGCCTCCCAAAGTGCTGGGATTACAGGCGTGAGCCACTGCGCCTGGCTGATATCCAGTTGTTTAAAAGTGTGTGGCATCTCCCCCCGCTATCTTTTCCTCCTTCTCCAGCCATGAAAGACGTGCTCACTTCCCCTTCATTTTCGACCGTGATTGTAATTTTCCTGAGGCCTCCCCAGTGGTGCTTCCTGTACAGCCTGTGGAACTGAGTCAATTAAACCTCTTTTCTTTATAAAGTTGGACGTGGTGGCTCGCGCCTGTAATCCCAGCATTTTGGGAGGCTGAGGTGGGTGGATCACTTGAGGTCAGGAGTTTGAGACCAGCCTGCCCAACACAGTGAAACCCCGTCTCTACTGAAAATACAAAAATTAGCCGGGTGTGGGGGTAGGCGCCTGTAATCCCAGTTACTTGGGAAGCTGAGGCAGCAGAATTGCTTGAACCCAGGAGGCGGAGGTTGCAGTGAGCCGAGATCATGCCACCGCACTTCAGCCTGGGTGACAAGAGCAAGACTCCATCTCAAAATAAAAAAATAAAAATAAGAATAAATTACTCGGTCTGGGGTAGTTCTTTATAGCAATGTGCAAACAGATTAATACACCTTTATAGATCTTGACAATGTTTAAATCTATTTTGCAAGAACATGGTAAGTCTTTCTATATGCTAAACTTTTTAAAATTTCTTCAAAGCATTTTAGAGGATTCCTTATATAAAAATCAGAAGCTCCCATACCACATCTATCTGCCTTCAGCACACGTGCCACTAGTACCTTCCTCTACTTAAGAAGTAGATCCCAATGCCTCTCAGACTCAAGCCTCCTGCAAGTCTTCCTTCTCTCATCTGCATCATCAATTGGCTCTCTAATGGCAGTTACACTGGCATATAGTTATTTCTTCTTCTTTTTTTGAGACAGGGTCTCAGTTTGTCACCCAGGCTGGAGTACAGCGGCATGATCACTGCCCACTGCGTCCTCTATCTCCTGGACTCAAGCAATCCTCCTGCCTCCGCCTACCAACTAGCTGGGGCTACAGACGTGCACCACCACACCCAGCTAATTTTTGTGTATTTTGTAGAGACAGGGTCTTGCCATGTTGCCCAGATTTGTCTTGAAATCCTGGACTCAAGTGATCCTCCCGTCTTGGGCTCCCAAAGTGCTGGGATTATGGGCATGCACCACTGAGCCTGGCTATTTCTTCCACCTTAAAAAGAAAACAACCTTCTTTTGACCCTACTTTGCCCCATAACTACAACTCCATTTCTTGGCTCCCCTTTATGGCAAGATTCCTTCAAAAATCGTTGTTTACACTCAATGTCTCCGATTCTTCTCATTTCTTTATGAACCCACACCAGCTTCCACCTCCATCATGCCACCAAAACCCTTATTGTTATGATGACGCCATTGACCTTCATAATGCTCAATCCACTGGCCAATTTTCTATTCTCACCTTTCTTTATCTTAGAGCAGTCCTGGACATAGTTAACCCCTCCTCCCTCTTTGAAATACTTGGCTCTTTGAAATAAGCTCTAGGCTTTCCTCTTCTCTTATAGCTCCTTCTCAGTCTCCTTTGCTGGTTCCTCCTCTAAAGGTGAGCACCTCAAGGTGTTGCTTAGAGCTCTTTTCTTTGGCTGGACGTGGTGGCTCACACCTATAACCCCAACACTTTGGGAGGCCAAGGCAGGAGGATTGCTCAAGTCCAGGAATTTAAGGCCAGTCTGAGCAATGTGGTAAGATCCCCGTATCTACAAAAAAATTAAAAATTAGCCAGGTGTGGTGACATGCACCTGAAGTCCTAGTTGCTTTGAAGGCAGAGGTGGAAGTATTGCTTGAGTCCAGAGGTCAAGGCTATAATGGGCTGTGATCATGCCACTACACTCCAGCCTGGACGACACAGCGAGACCTTGTCTTAAACACAACAAAACAAAACAAAACCTTTTTCCTTTCTTTGCCTTCTCCTACTCTCTTGGCATCTATTCTCACATGGCTTTACACATTACCTACAAACTCAGAACCCCAAATTTTTATCTCCAGCCCAAACCATTCCTCAAACTTCCAGCGTTATTTGCAACTGCCTATTTAACAACTACTTGGATATCTAATAGGCATCTCAAACTTAATGTGTCTAACATGTGAACTCTAGATCTTTAGGCTCCAATCCCAACCTGTTCTGTTCAACTCAGTTTGGACTGGCAACTCCATTCTTCTCATCTCTCAGACCAAAAATTTGAAAAGAATCAAATTTTAAAACCTACCATGTATTGTGGAAAACTGATTTCAAATGATTGAGAATTCTTAACATCTAGACATCCTCGTGAAACTATTTGAGTTCAAAGATAAAAGAAAAGGCCAGGTGTTGTGGCTCATGCCTGTAATCCCAGCACTTTCAGAGGCCAAGGCAGGCAGATCACTTGATATCAGGAGTTCAAGGTCAGCCTGGCCAACATGGCAAAACCCCATCTCTACTAAAAATACAAAAATTAGCCGGGCATGGTGGCGCATGCCTGTAATCCCAGCTACTCGGGAGGCTGAGGCAGGAGAATCGCTTGAACCTAGGAGGCAGAGGTTGCAGTGAGCTGAGATTGTGCCACTGCACTCTAGCCTGGGTCCTGGGTGACAGAGCGAGACTCTGTCTTAAAAAAAAAAGATAAAAGATAAAAGAAAAATCCACATGACCTCCAGGCAAAAAGATGAAATAACTTCCAAAGACAAGTAATTTAATTAGATTGGCATCAGATTTTTTTTCAAAAACAACACATACAAAGCAAGGCAGTAGTGGAAGAGCATTTTCAGGAAACTCAAGAAAAAAAACTGCAAGCTAAGAATAGTACATCCAAACAATTTGTAGAAGAAGCAAGGCCACAGTAAAAGTTATGAACATGCAGAACTCAAGGAATACTGTACACGTGTGTACACACAGATTCCTGAGGAACCTACTAGAAAATGAACTTCATCCTACCAAAAGTGACAGGTAAGCTTCAAAAAGAAGAGTACACATTTCATATATTCGATTGTAGAGTTAAGACCAAAACGAGGGTGGGGTCTGTGGGTTGAAAAAATATATTTTCCCTCCTGACAAAGTAAAAAAATATGCAATGAAAAATAGAAGAGAGAAAAGGGGGAAAGAGAATAAGATCTTCTATACAGGCAATTAGTGGGAGTCAAAAATATAATTTAAAACTGACAAATAATAAAGAATACTATTTAAGTAAGAAGAGGTATGCATCATCATGCCCAGCTAATTTTTCCAACTTTTTGTAGATGTGGGGTCTCACCATGTTGCCCAGGCTGGTGTCCAACTCCTTGCCTCAAGTGATCCACCTCAGCCTCAATGTGCTGGGATAACAGGCATGAGCCACTATGTCCAGCCATCCTTGTACTTATTTCTTTTTGAGACAGGGTCTTGCTCTGTCACTCAGGCTGGAGTGCAGTGGTAGGATGATAGCTCACTGCAGCCTCAAACTCCTGGGCTCAAGCCATCTTGCTGCCTCACCCTCCTGAGTTCTAGGACTATAGGTGCACTCCACCAAGCCCAGCTAATTAAAAAAAAAATTTGTTAGAGATGGCGGTCTCGCTATATTGCCTAGACTGGTCCAGAACTCCTGGTCTCAAGTGAGGCTCCCACCTCAGCCTCCCAAAATGCTGGGATTACAGGTGTGAGCCACCACGCCCAGCCCCTTGTACCACTTTTATTTTGCAACTTTTTGTAAGTTAGAAATTATTTTGAAGTAAAAAGTGAAATAAAACAACTTATAATAGCAAGTATCAGCAAAGATGAGGAACACTGGGTACACTCAACACACTACTGGTGGAAGCATGAACTGGTATAATCACTTTGGCAAAAAATTTGTCATTCTCTACTGAAGCTGAAATATAACCCAACAATTTCACTTCCAGGTATATACCACATAGTAACACACACACATAGACTCCAAGAGACACGCACAAGAATGTTCACAGTAAAATTATTTTGTAAGGGCAAAAAACTAGTAACCAACTAAATGCCCATCAACAGTACACTGGAAATGTAAATTCTGTATATCCATACAAAGGAATAAATAAATGAACTATATTTGCATGCAGCAAAACAGACAAATCTAAATAAGGGTTAAAGAACAATAAAAAAAAAACAGACTCAAAAGAATACATACTATGATTCCACATATTTAAAAGTCAAAAACAAGCATAACAAAACTATAGTTATTAGAAGTCAGGAGTATACTTTAGGGAGGAAGCAGCGATGGAGCCACAAGGAAGGGTTTACAGTACTGACCATGGTCTCTATCTGAACGTGTATAGTGGCTTCTCAATGATTAACCCTGATAGTTCATTAGCAGTATATTTATTGTACTGCTCTGATGTATATTAATTAAAAATTAAGTTTAAATAAGTGGTGAGTTTTTTTGAGGGGGGCAAGGGTGAGGCCTAATAGATGGTCAATTTTGTGATTATTCCATGGGCCCTTTCATGTTTTAAGTAAAGAATTCAACATACCATATTATATCAGTTTGAAGATGATAAGATTATCATCTGATTATAAGATTATAGATGAAGCATTATAATGCTTATAAGATTATAAGATGAAGCATTATTTATGTGCCATCAAAAAAGAAAGAAAAAAGAGGAAAAACACTGCTCAATAAACTATGACTCTAAACAATAAAATCTTTAATGTGTTTTTTGTATTGAGGCTATTCAGAACTATCAGCTTTCCACTGCAAAACTTTTATTGCAATGTATCTATATAAGAATGGTCTCAATGACTGAAAATATCTCTACTATTTTCTTGCCCACCAATATTATTACATTTGCTCTTCAGAGAGTCTGTGAGCTATGACACTTTAGAGATCATCTGGATTTTATAGATGAGAATAATGAAGCCGAAAGAGGTTGACTTGCTTTTAAAAGGCAGTAGGAGGCAAAGAAGAGGCTTGATCCTACACCTCACAGTTCTCAAGACTGATTTTCCTCTATGTCTTAAGGGATATGGACCTGAGTATTAATCACAGTACAAAATGTTACCTCAGAAGAGATTTCATGTGAAAACTTAGAATTTTGAGTTTAATAGTAAAGACACACTTTTTTTAATGTGCGTCACTGGAATTCTGACCAAAAATAAAGGCATAAATTAGCTTGGGGAAAACTGTCCTGGATATCAATTAATATTTATTTTCTGAATATGAATAATCTATAAACTTTTTAGTAAGTCCACTCCAAAACACAATAAAAATTATTAAAATATTGCTTCTAAATACCCTACAAGCAAAAATATCAACACGTGAATGAGTAAAATAATTCTTCAAAGGTTCGTGGATAAAGAAATCATAGACAGTGGGTTTGAACAGCCACTTAAGAGGTCAAAAGCTACTAAAGAAATAATGATGAAAATCAGTTTTGGAAAATCAAAGAAAATTATTTGGAAGATTACATTAGCCCCTGATTTACAAATGCATTTTTCAGAAAGGGAGCCATACTACAATGCTCACGAGATCAAACTAAAACACAGACTTAACTCATGTCTTTACAGGAAACAATTCAAGTAAGGTGATATACACACATTTTCAGAAGGCAAATCCCGGGTGTACTCTGAGAACCAATATATAAAGTATCAGTGTGTTTACATTTTATAGTTTATAAAGTGATTTCATCATTTGATCTTTATAATCTATGAATTTTCAGAGCAAATATTATCTTCTTTGTATGAAAAAACAAACTGAAGCTCAGATATGTTAAATGATTGGCCTAGTCATACAGTTCAAGATCGATCCAGTACTTGAACCCAGATGTCCTAATTTCACACCATATTTATCTATAGCTGTTACCTTAACCCTAAATGTATGCTGGGACTCAAAACGTTCAAACTCAGTAACATAAATCTACTTGCCAATGTCTCTGGAAAATTTATTACTACACTTCAGAGGTGATGCCAAATTTGGTGCTTTAACTTTATAAACGGTAAAACTGTTAACTCTGGGACCACTGCCTATAAACCTTACCTTCACATCAAAGGAAGGCTTGAAGAGTTTGTCCTTGGACAGGAATTTTGATGGTGTATCCAGGTGTAACGAGGGCTCCTTCTGAAGTGGTTGTCCTACTGCTGGGGAGGCTGCGACCTGTCTGGCATGTTGTGAGACCACAGCACGGAAAGCTTTACTCTGAAAGCGGTTCATATCTAAAGGTGTAACGACGGTTTTTCTGTGAGTTTGCAGGCGTGTGCCAGGATGCTCTGCAGTATCTGAATTTAGATTGATTCCATTTGTTATTTCTGTTTCCAAACTTCGTTCTAGAGATTTAAAATGAAAAGAAACAAATATGAGCCACTAATGCCCACTTTTTCCCGGTACACAAGAAGTAATATTTTATACTGTTTTCTTTCCTTTCTTTCTTGCATAACTCCTGGGCTCAAGAGATCCATCTACCTCGGCATCCTAATCTGTTAGTTTTCATGTCAATTCTCAGGTACACTTTAAATCACAAAATTATATACCTACTTTCCAAGAAACAAACCAGATTATGCATTAAATATATGTTGAGTTAGACAAGCACATTAACTGAAAAAATAATAATAGATTTCCTGTTTCATCTTGCTATGTCTCAATAAGCCTATTTGCCAAAAATTGTTATCAGTGAATGTCTTTCTAGTCAATGACAGAGTAAAAAGAAAAATCTCAATTACAGGTACTCAGAGTTAACTACAGTCTAGTTTTGGAAAGTCCTTAATCAAATTTTAATATGACCTGAACATCACTTAGCCTCAGTCATAAAATTACCAGTCTGTCTGGCAAAATAAGTAATGACTCTGAGAGGTATTCCCAAGCTGCTGATATGTCCCTGAAGTTTGCCCATGGATGCTATTATCTTACAAGAGAGGGTACTGTATTCTTCCACCTATGCCTTCCACCTTTTTTCAACATTTAACAAAAAACCTTATTAGATAGCTACTCCATGCCAGGCCTAGTGTTAGACATGGGAAATACAGAATTCACAAGACATGCATGTTCACTGCCTTTCTGGAACTTTAAATTTAGCAGGAAGACACAAAATAAACAACCATTATAACACTGAGGTAAGAGATAAAAGGGATGATACAGAGTGTCATGGTGAAACAAAAAACATTATACCAAGACAAAGGCCATCCTTGGTGAGTCAAGAATGCTTCCCAAGACAGTGTGGCGATTCCTCAAAGATCTAGAACTAGAAATACCATTTGACCCAGCGATCCCATTACTGGGTATATACCCAAAGGATTACAAATCATGCTACTATAAAGACACATGTACACATATGTTTATTGCAGCACTATTCACAATAGCAAAGACTTGGAACCAACCCAAATGTCTATCAATGATAGACTGGATTAAGAAAATGTGGCACATATACACCATGGAATACTATGCAGCCAGAAAAAAGGATGAATTCATGTCCTTTGTCGGGACATGGATGAAGCTGGAAACCATCATTCTGAGGAAACTATCACAAGGACAGAAAACCAAACACCGCATGTTCTCACTCATAGATGGGAATTGAACAGACACAGGGCAGGGAACATCACACACCGGGGCCTGTCGTAGGATGGGGGGATGGGGGAGGGATAGTATTAGGAGAAATACCTAATGTAAATGACGAATTAATGGGTGCAGCAAACCAACATGACACATGTATACATATGTAACAAACCCGCATATTGTGCACATGTACCCCAGAACTTAAAGTGTAATAATAATTAAAAAGAAAAAATGAAAGGCTTCCCAGGGAAAGTGGTATCTTAGCTGAGAACTGAAAGATAAGCAGGAAGAGCAGGCAACTGTGAGGTGGTCTACAGGAAACATGCAGAAGCCCAAAGATAAGAGGAGAGATAGCATGTTAATTATATAGTGTGTTACTATGAGCCATAGAAAGAATCAACAGTAAATAGGAGCCAAGCTTACATCTGTAGACTTCGAACACTGAGACCCTCACTGCACCCAATGTGAAAAGCAAAAATCAATGACCCTTCCTAAACACAAGCATTGGCACATTTATATCCCAGAAACCATCTAGTTGTAAATATATATAAAAGAACAGAATAAAAGTATTAACCTTCTTTAGTTGAATTTTCAATCAGAAAATGGCTTTCGTCTGCTCTCTTTCCCGTTCTAGCAGTCTCCAACAGCCAAGCTATAGTAACGGCAGGTAAATTCCACTTCTTTGCAGCTTCATATTTAGAGCCACCACGTTCTTTCAGTATAAGATGAGTACTGGCAAACATGCCTTTCTTTGCATTGGATTTGCGAACAAAGTATTCTTGAACACTGAAATTTATGTTTAAAGAAGTGGAAATGGTCACATATACAATTAACCCGCAAAACTAACAAAATTTCCAACACAACAGTGTGGTTAGAGATCATGTAAGTATAAAAAAAAATACTGATTAAAAGTTGGTTTACTCTATCTGAAATTAAGCTAATCCCCTTACAAATGCTTACTCTAGGGTAAAAATGTATTGCTGTAACAAACTTTTTATAAAAACATAATTAGACATGCAAAGAACAGACAGCAAAAATCCTTTTGAGACAGGGTCTTGCTATGTTGTCCAGACTGGAGTGCAGTGGCACAATCACAGCTCACTGCAACCTCCGCCTCCCAGGCTCAAGCCATCCTCCCACCTCAGCCTCCCCAGTACCTAAGACTACAGGTGTACACCACCACACCTGGCTAATTTTTGTATTTTTTGTAGAGATGGGGTTTCACAATGTTGCCTAGCCTGGTCTCGAACTCCTGAGCTCAAGTGATCCTCCTGCCTCAGCCTCCTAAAGTTGGGATTACAGGCGTGAACCACCTCACACAGCCAAAATTACCTCCTTAATTAGTTATCACCCCCACACCTTGTCCTTTCCTCCCAAAAGAAGGCACAGAAAAAATGACAGGAGCAAAGTGTATAAATAACATTATTATTATTTTTTAACCTACTACAACTTTCCAAAGCATTTCTACATATTATCTCATTTGATCCTCTCAATATTTAAGTATAGACATGGGAAAAAATACAGAGAAATTAAGTGCCTCAAGATCATAGGATATTAAACACAGAGAATACGGGGCAGAAAAAGAAGTCTACGACTTGAGATTGAACAGAATTCCGTGATTTCTTTTATGACTTCTGGGTTTTATGTTCTAGTTCCCAACTTTTCAGATTTTTAAATTTCCCATGTTTCCTAGCACTTTTTTTTTCTATGTTTTGTGTTTATCTTAGTACTTTTATAATTTCATTTTTTACATTTAACCCACCAATCCATTCAGTACTTATTTAGATATGAGATACTGCTCCAACTTTAATGAATCCTATTTATTGAATAAGCCATGTCTTCCTTATATATATTTGAAATGTCACTTGTATCGTAAATTCCTTTTTACATTTGGGTCTCCTGCTACATTTGCTGTCCATTAATTAAACTTTCTGCTACACGTAACCACACTGTTATTTAGTGAAGTTTCACAAAATATATATTTGTTTGTTTGTTTTCTGAGACAGGGTCTTGCTCTGTCCTCCAGGCTAGAGTACAGTGGCGCCACTGTGACTCACTGCAGCCTTGACCTCCCAGGCTCAAACAATCCTCCCACCTCAGCCTCCCAAATAACTGAGACTACAGATTTATGCTACATTGCCTGGCTCATTTTTAAAATTTTTTGTAAAGACAGGGTCTCAGTATATTGTCCAGGCTGGTGTTGAACTTGGCCTCCTGCCACGGCCTCTCAAAGTGCTAGGATTACAGGCATGAACCACCAGACCTGGCCACAAAATATATTTTAATAACTGTTAGGGCTAGTCCCAATTATTCTATTTCAGAATTTGCATGACTTTCCTGCTGAGTACAGCTTTAGCTGTATCCAGTGGAGTCTGTCATCATGTATGTTATTATCTTCCACAATTTCAGTTTTAAAAGAATTTTATTATTTCATATAATTCAAACAGAAAACAGCAAAAAAAGAAATATACAGCTATACGAATTATTATAAGGTGAAACCCTTAAGTCCACCACCCAGGTCAGAAGACAGAATCTTGCTAACTACCCCAGAACCTCTCCAACATGCCATATAAACCCCCTTCCCTCCCTTCTTAATAGTAGCCACTATTTGGGCTTTTTTTTGGAGACAGGATCTCATTTTGTTGCCCTGGCTGGAGTATAGTTGTGTGATCATAGCTCACTGCAGCCCTGGTCTCCTGGGCTCAAGTAATCCTCCTGCCTTAGCCTCCCGAGTAGCTGGGACCATAGGCACATGCCACCATGCCTGGCTCATTTTTTTTTATTATTTTTTAAATAGAGACGAGGTCTCACTATGTTGTACAGGCTGGTCTTGAACTCCTGAGCTCAAGCAATCTTTTAGCCTCCCGAGTGCTGGGATTACAGGTGTGAGCCACTGTGCTTGGCCTATTTGGATACTTATAGTAATCACTTCTTTACTTTTCTATAATCAAATAATGGCAACTTTAAAGACTACATTTAGGCTTTTGCTTTTTCAAGTCTTTTAGCTTATAGGTTCCTACCTTCTTTTCCATGCCCTTAATATATATTCATTGAAGACACTGGATCATTTATGCCAGAGTTGTACTAAAGTCTGGGTCTTGCTGATTATATCACTGTAGTATAGTTTAACGTGTTATTCTGCTGTTTGCATTTCCTATAAATTGGGAATTGGATCTAGAAGCATCATCAGATTGAGGTTTGATTATTTTGGCAAGACTACTTCAAAGTGGTGGTGTATTCTTTGTAAGAAGGCACATCATGTCTTGTCCCTTTATTGTGTGATCGACTATTGATGTTCAATGCCTAGATTCTTTCATTCATTAGGGGTTACAGTCTTATCATTCCTTATTTATTTATTTGTTTGTTGAAACATCTTTATAAAGGGAAACTTTGTCGTATCCACTATCATGTTACCCTGATGCAAACTGCACAGGAAATGCAAGGTAATTCCTTGATCCTTTCCTTTTGTCAGCTTTCAAAGTAATGGACTGGTTCTCTAGCATCTTTCAAAGATGACCAATTACCTTACTTTATTTGGTGTCATTATGAAGTCACAACTTAAACACTATTTCATGTGTTTGGACCCACTGCAGTTATTACCTCTAATGATACCTAAGTTTTCATCTTTGGACAACAGAGGCACTTTTTTTTTTTAAGGCTAGTCAAGTGAAGCAGTGGGAGTGGAGAAGGAACCACATAACACTCATAAATATAATAAAGACACCCAACCAAATTCTAATTTGAATGCTCTCCAAGAAGTCAAAATAAATAAAAAGATACACCAATACAACAGGTGCATTAAAAATATTACATACCTTGCTCCAAGGAGGTTTGCTAGGAATGTTAAAGACTCTTTTTCTGCTCCAGCACACTGGCTAAATGAAATAACACAATCCTCTAAAGGAGTCATTCCTGTCATTACTGGAACTGGTGTGAAGAGAGGATTCGACTTTGGATCAAACAAAGTCTGATAGTCTATGCAAGTAACCTTTTAAAAACAAAAGAAATAGTAAAGCCAACCTGAAATAAGCAACCAGTGGTTAACACTGGTTCAGGTACAGAAGCAATAATTTAGTTTTGATAAGAAGAAATTTTACTTTAATACAAACTTGTGTATGCTCATTCTCAATACATTTCATATCATAATGTTAGAGTATATATATACATACACACATATACATACATCGACTAATTACATTAGGCTATTAAAATCGGTAAGATCTATTATTAGAGTTACTGAATGTTGCTTTAAATTTCATTCCTTCTAATGTATTAGTTTATACTATTTTTCTCATAATTCTTGGAATGTTAAAAAAAAAAAAATCAACAGTGAAATTACCAGTGATGCTTTGGTTATGAGAAAACAAGACAAATAGTATGAGATGACCCTAGAGTGACCTCCTAAGAAGGAATGTTGCTGCTGTGGCCCTGGGAAACAGTAATCTCTACTGTATCGGGATTAGGCCAAGAAGCTTGCACATTTAATTTTGAATTTCCCTTGCTAAAAGCAAAATCAAGAGTGTTCAAGTCCAAGCATTGATTTACTGTAACTGAACTGTCTAAGAAATAAACATTAACCTTCTTGGCATTCAGATATCCTTCGATACTTTATTTCAACCACTAGTGTTGTCTTACCAGCCATGTATTTGTAACAACTTCTCCCACAGTGGCTTCCACTTCACACCCCAGCAGAGGAACCACAGCATAATCCGCAACAGTTCTGCTCAGAAGGGACATGATTTTCCCAGCATTTTCTTTTATGATGTTTGCGATGTTAGATTCATTTTCATTACTAAAACCCAAAACAAGGAAACTCTTTTGGCTAAATAAGCCTTCTTCAGTAATTGTAGAAACATCAGGGACACAATGACTGACAGAAGACTGGTTTTCTTCTTGCAAAGAAATGTGAGTAGAATCATTCAAGGGCTCAGCATGAGTAGAATCATTAAAGGGCCTGGCTTCAGACGTCTTAGCCTCAACTGAAAGAGAAAAGTAAATGTTTTCTAACCAACAATTTACCTTATACAGTTTACTTCCTAGCAAGGATATTAACGTAACATGGAATCTGATAATTTTGACCATACTTACAAAACTAAAGCTTACGTGTATAATAAAGGGATATGGATTCACCCCGTCTTCGGGGTTACCAAGAGTCCTTATCAGTATTACCATCATCCATTGGGAAGGACAAGAGCAATCATGTTAGTTCTAGGTATTCCTAGTATAATGGAAACTTGAATTAGTTTAAAATTATATAGCTCCAACAGGACTTAGTTCCAAAACTGGTTTAGATGATTCACCATAAAATTAAGAAACTATCATTAAGAAAAAAATTAACAAGTCTAAATGGTATAACTGTCAAGTCCTTAACATGGAACATGTTAACATGGAAATAACTATAAGGAAGTGGCTGGCAAATCCTAAAATATTTATTGTCTACTCCTTTAGAGAAAAAGTTTGCCCTGCTATGTGATTCCAACAAGGCTGGAAGCTATCCAAGAATCACTCTTTCATTTATATAAGCACTGTGACTAAGTGCTTTACAAATGCATGTAATGCTCACATAATGCTAACTGTGAGGCTGATACTATCAGTACATCCCTTTTGTACAAAAGGAGTCTCAGGCTTGAAGAGGTTATGTAACTTGCCTAAGGTCACACAGTTAAGTGGCAGAAATGAGATACAAACCAAAGTCTGTCTAACTCCAGAGTTCACACCACCATGTTATAGTGCCATCTTCGTACTTCTATCCTCATCTCCAACAGACACTAGCATTTTCATTTTTAAGTAAATTGTAATATACATTAGGAACTTGTAAATTAAGTACACTGCAATATATATTAGGAACTTATGACTCCTACTAAACATAAGTATTAAAATTGTACTTATTCGCACTAAGGAAGCATAGTTTTGTCTAGGGAGTTTACTGGTCAGTAAGTCAGGAGAGCTGGGTTCTAGTTTTATAGTCTCTTTGACCCTTGGTTTCATAATATAAGGAATAAAGGGTAATAGTATACTTATAATTTACAGATATACTCATGGGAATGAATATGCTTAGATGGAATTAAAGGTGAGGCAATACTATAAAACATTCCGGAAAGTTTTTTAAACAGTTTTGTTAAAATGTAAAGTTTGTTTTATAAGTAAAAACCTTCTTATTTTTTGCAAGTACAATTATTTTGCAGTCACATCTAGGAGAAAAAAATAACTTTTTTCGACGTCTATATGTTGTTGGTAAGATGGGAAGGAGGAAGAAATCCAGTAGAATTTTAGACTACTACTATAAAAACAAAGTAGAAATACTAAGTTCTTATAAACCATCAGTAAAACTCTGAAGTTATTAAGAGACTCATAATAAACTAACATGTTCTACAGCAGTTCTTTCCGTTTATTTTAGCAGTAGGATCTCTTTTCAAACAGACCGCACCCAAAAGCCTAAGAGATACTACATAATAAACCTATCATTCAAAAAGCTCCCCTAGGGCCGGGCGCGGTGGCTCATGCCTGTAATCCCAGCACTTTGGGAGGCTGAGGTGGGTGGATCACAAGGTCAGGAGTTCAAGAGCAGCCTGGCCAACATGGAGAAACCCCATCTCTACTAAAAATAGAAAAATTAGCTGGGCATGGTGGCACGTGCCTGTAATCCCAGCTACTTGGGAGGCTGAGGCAGGAGAATCACTTGAACCCAGAAGGCAGAGGTTGCAGTGAGCCAAGACCACGCCACTGCACTCCAGCCTGGTGACAGAGCAAGACTGCATCTCAAAAAAAAAACAAAAAACTCCCTTAAATCAAAAGCCATTTTAAGAATTAATTATAAAATACTTTATTATAGACTTTCTAAGATGCTTGGTGATCCACTAAGATTTACCATCACTTAATCCTTATAAAGTCAGTAAACCACTAGCTGTCTTAGGAAGGTTTAAGAAACTAATCACCTGCCCTACACCAAGTACCCTTGGCTGAAGGATAGTATGTAAAATTGCTGGCTGGGTGCAGTGGCTCAAGCCTGTAATCCCAACATTCTGGGAGGCTAAGACAGGAGGATCACATGAGGCCAGGAGTTTGAGACCAACCTGGCCAACATGGTGAAACCCCATCTCTACTAAAAATACAAAAATTAGCTGGGCGTGGTGGTGCACACCTGTACTCCCAACTACTAAGGAGGCTGAGGGAAGAGAATTGCGTGAACTCGGGAGGAGGAGGTTGCAGTGATCCAAGCTTGTGACACTACACTCCATCCTCAGTGATGGAGTGAGACCCTGTCTCCAAAAAAAAAAAAAAAAATCACTTTCAGTTATACCACAGCATCCTGGAAAATCAAGATGATTTCCTGATGTGATACAATACTAAAGCATAAGTAAATGGTTTGAGAAAAGTCAATTTTGTAGTACGGAAATAGTGTAAATAAAAAAGGAATGCTAGGAATTCCCTCTCTAGAAATATGGTGGGCTAGGATCTTTGAAACACTCTCACTAAAAACACTTCAAAATACAGGATAAAATATTAAAATCCAGACCACTAAAGTGGTTACTAAATCCAGAACATTAAGTAGTTACTAAAGCTAATGGTTAGTCAAAATCTATTAAATATCTGTGCAGTAACCCAGACCCTTGGAATGTAAAGGTATCACACAAGAGATAGGAGCCAATCCTTTGGTTTCATAAAACTTAGAGGTGAAGGAGAGTATACCCTGAGAGAACAAGCCCAGAACCCATGAAGAGACATATCTTTAGTAAACAGACCAAAACTAACCAACCAACCAACAACAAATCTGCCCTGTAAAGGAAGAGGTCAAGAACACTGGCTTTGTGTCAAGGGGAAACAACATCTCTCCTAAGAATCTGTTCATCAGAGGCTGGTCCTCAAAGTAGGTTTGGGTATAAATTCATATAGCTGGAGGTCTAAGAAACCTCCAGCCAATACACCAACTTAAAGGCATATTGAGTTTGTAAACTCCTAGGCACCTAGCAGACCCAAACATGAACCTTTTCTGGGGTAACAAACCCCTACCCCAAGTTTCTTAGAATTCCTAGAGTCCTAGTAAGTACAAGTTCACAATAAAAATCACAAAACACAAGAAAACCAGGCACCATAAACAACAGCCAACAGAACAATTCACAGATGTTTTGATAGGTTTAATGTGTTTTAAGAAATAAAGAACAAAAAATACAAATACAAAATGACAGACTTGGCTGGGTGTGGTGGCTCACACCTGCAATCCCAGCACTTTGGGAGGCTGAGGTGCTTCAAGACCAGCCTGGGTAACATAGTAGCACCCCATCTCTATTTTTAAAAGTAAAAAAATAAATGACAGACTATTTAAAAAGCTAAAACTTCTAGGAATTGAAAAATTAATTATTAAAACAGAAAATTTAATGGATGGGTAAAACAGATTAGGCAATAGCGGAAGAGATGATTCGTGATCTGGAAAAAAATCTGAAGGAATTACACATAATAAATCACAGAAAGACAAAAAGATGGAAGATAAGGACAGGTTAAGTGACCTATATGCAAAGCAAATGGGAGTTAAGAGAATATAGAGAATGGGGGAGAGGCAATATTCAAAGAGATAATAAACATTTCTTGACCTAACAAAAAGCAAAAAATCTACTAATTCTCAGATTCAGAAGGCACAGTGAATCTCAAGCAGGACAAATAAATGGTAAAGCTCTAGGACACAAAAACCAAAAGGAAGACTATCTTAAAAACAGCCAGAGGATAAAGACAGATTATCTGTAAAGGAATGACAGACTGATATCTGACCTCCTATCCAGCAGTCAGGGAAATAGATGACAATGAAACAATATCTCTGTGCTTAAAGAAACTGTCTAGAACTGTATACCCAGCCGAAGAGTCTTAGAGAAACTAAAGGAGTTTCTAAAGGATATTGTTTTAGGAAGAAAGAAAATGATTCCAAAAGAGAGGTCTCAGATGTAAAAAGAACTGGGGAGAGCAAAGAAACAGTTAAACGTGTTAGTAAATGAAACAAATACTGACCATATAAAAGCATAATAACGCCTAATTGTAAGATGTTAAAAGATAATGAAAATACTAGACAAAATCACATAAGCTGAGTATGTTGATGAGTGGAGAGAGGGAGCAGGGCTAGTTGTGATCATTAAAGTATTTTAGGCTGGGCTCAGTGGCTCACGCCCGTAATCCCAGCACTTTGGGAGGCCAAGGCGGGTGGATCACCTGAGGTCGGGAGTTCAAGACCAGCCTGGCCAACACTGAGAAACCCCATCTCTACTAAAAATACAAAATTAGCCAGGGGTGGTGGCGCATGCCTGTAATCCCAGCTACTTGGGAGGCTGAGGCAGAAAGAATCACTTGAACCTGGGAGGCAGAGGTTGCAGTGAGCTGAGATCATGCCACTACACTCCAGCCTGCGCAACAAGAGCGAAATCCTGCTTCAAAAAAAAAAAAAGTTTTCTAAGGTTCTTGTTTTATTCGAGGTAGATTAAAATTCTGATTAACTTCAGATTTTAAGTTATGATACACATTAAATTTACTTAAATGTATATATTTTTGGCTATATTAGGTATTTTATAAAGGCTTTTTTTTAATAAAAAAGAAGTAATGATGTTTATAATGCTTCACTGGCAATTTACCTTACTACATGATAAGAGTACATACTGAGGTGGTAGTCCACAGTACAGTTTCATGCATTAAAGACCACAATAATCCAGTAAGAGGTATTTGTTACAAGGTTTTAATAAAAGGCTCATGATATTACAAACTCACACACAAACCAAGCAATGCCTGTATATATAACAAATCAAAATAGAGCTAGTTAGCTGGAGACAGGAGAGAGGGTTAAAGGGTTCAGGACCCTCTTGTCTTGCCTGCTCAGAAAAAAAGTTATGAGGAAAATTTTAAGGAAAGAAAAAGGTTAATTTAACTTAAAATCTAGAAAACTTGGCAGAAATCACATATGTACGTATTAGGCTACTAAAATATTTCTTACTAACTACAAATACTAATCAAGCATTTCTTACCTACTGTGGAGCTACCATTTTCATATTGAGAGAGCAGATCTTCATCAGCTTGCTCATGCTTTTCACTAGGAGCAAAGTCTTTCTTAGAGAAGCTGCTGTTCTTCTTTTTTAAAAGAGCTGCTTTACTTTCAGGCTTATGTGAAACTGGAATTTCCACTGGCTGGTAATTAGCATGGATATATGGTTCTTCAGAAAGCATATAACCTTTACTGAAACACTCTAGCAACCACTTTGCTCCCACTACATGAGGCCTACAAAAATAGCACATAGTTATGTATTAGTGCAAGCTATAAAGACCATCATCCCACTTGTCATGCAGTTTCCAGAACTGCGTGGATATGCAATTTTAAGAAAAATTATGTAGTAGAAATTGCTTTGAATTAAAAACGAAAAAAACCTGTGGGCTGATTTATTCCAAAACTGCTTCAATTCATCATCATAATCTCCCACAATAACATGAGTTACATCTTCATTTAGCTGGTTAAAACGAACTCCACCTCCACTGTTAATAAGTCTTCTCAGTTTATCTAGCTTTCTGCCACTAAAACCGCAAAGATATATCTGCAAGAAAGAAAATATTTAATATACATAACATGCTTTCTCTCAATAGAAAAAAACTAAAAATATATATCTAAATCCACTGTGTATAAATAAGACAACTTGTGTACATTTAAGATATATGAATAAATACATTCTGAAACTTTTGATTTTTTAACAGTTCTGCAACTTTGAGTTTTTAATCACTCTTTACAATCTCATACAGCATTATCTTTCACAGTAGATACTTGATAAGTATTTTGTGGCTATAAAGAAAATAGAAGCCAGAGTCCAACATCTTCTAAATATTAGTGCATACCAATTCCTAAAATGCAGGTAACTTCTTTAACTGTGAAGCTTACTTGTAAATTTTAAAGTAATTATAAAAGTAAACTGTAGTTAACTGTCTGAATTCTGAACACCTGGGCTTAAATTGTGTGTGTGTGGGGGGCGGGGGGAGGGGTTGTTTTTTCCAGCTGCCTATGATTAACGACAATAGGCAAGTTGCTTACGCTCTTTAAATCAATTTTCTTACCTATAAATTGATGTTACCTTACTCACAGAGTTGACTGAACAAAAAATATATATAAGTCAAAGAACTGAACACAATGCTTTGAGGATAACATGTATGCAGTAATTTATTTTTAGCTATCAGTATATATATATTTAAACCAATTTAATCAATATAAAATCATTTTACCTCTATTTTACATAAGGTGCCCTTAAAAAAATTTAAGTATGACAAATCTACTCCAAACTGCATTTATACCCCAAATTAAATCACCCCCATTACTAGAATATATTTTAACAAATATTTGGAATCATATACTTTCTATATGTAAGAAATAATTAAAAGCTATATCTAGAATTAGTAGTCTAGGATAAAACATCATACAAAACACCTCTGAGCCAGGTGTGGTGGCTCATGCCTGTAATCCCAACACTCTGGGAGGCCAAGGTGGGCAGACTGCTTGAGGTCAGAAGTTCAAGACCAGCCTGGCCAATATGGTGAAACCCTCACCTCTACTAAAAATAGAAAAATTAGCATGCACCTGTAATCCCAACTACTTAGGAGGCTGAGGCAGGAGAATCGCTTGAACCTAAGAGGAAGATGTTGCAGTGAGCTGAGATCACGCCACTGCACTCCAGCCTGGGCGACAGAGCAAGTCTCCGTCTCAAAACAAAAACAAAAAACCCACCTTTTGTAAGTTGGCAAGTTTAAAAAAAAAAAAGGTAATTTGCCGAATTTCCCTTTTTTTTTTTTTTTTTTTTTTTTTAAATTTTGAGATGGAGTTTCACTCTTGTTGACCAGGCCGGAGTGCAATGGCGCAATCTCGGCTCACTGTAACCTCCGCCTCCTGGGTTCAAGTGATTCTCCTACCTCAGCCTCCCAAGCAGCTGGGATTACAGGGGCCTGCCACAACGCCCAGCTAATTTTTTTTGTATTTTTAGTAGAGACAGGGTTTCACCATGTTGGCCAGGCTGGTCTCCAACTCCTGACCTCAGGTATCTGCCCACCTTGGCCTCCCAAAAGTGCTGGGATTACAGGCATGAGCCACCAAGCCCAGCTCCAATTTCCCTTCTTAACAATAAGGTAGGGTTAAATTTTTGCTACTCTGTGAAAATTAGTGCACAGCCAAGTCATTCTACAAATAGGAATACATTAAGTATTCCAATCTAAGACAGCGGAAAAAGTATAGCATATGCTGTTTCCATCAACAAACTTATAAGACAGTTATTCATATACTAAAAAACTAAATAACCCAAGAAATACCAAACAAAGCAGTGGCTCTAATGGTGAGGAATACAGACTTTGGAGTAGATAACTGGCCACTTAATGTCTCTCTGTGTGACTCTGAACAAGAATTTTAATTCTCTAAGTCTTACCCTCAAGATAATATCCATTTTAGAGTTATTTGTGGGACTTAAATGCGATTTTATATATATATTAACACACATAAAATGATTAGCACAGTGTCTAATACACTGTAAACACTTGGATGATAGTTTAAAGTCCAAACCTGGGCAACATAGTGAGACCTTGTCTCTACAAAAAAATTTTAAAAATTAGCCAGGTGTAGTGGCACATGCCTGTAGTTCTAACTGCTCGGGAGACTGAGGGGTGGCTGATGCCCAGGAGTTCAAGGTTACAGGAAGTTATGATTGTGCCACTGCATCCCAGCCTGGGCAACAGAGTGAGACCCTAACTCAAAAAAATTAAAAAAAAAAAATCCAATAAGTTGTTCAGAAACTAAGTGCTCTCGAAATATAGCAGATGAAAAGATTAATGTAGTTAGGAGGGTTCAGAGAAGAGTTAAAACCTGAAATGAACTTTTAAAAGATAACAGAGGAAGATACCTTGCAGGCAGAGGGACTCTCGCAGCCAAAGGATGGACATGGTCTAGTAAGTGCATCTACTTAGCTAGAGTGGAGGGTTTACATAGATAGTAAGGAGCAAGCCCAACTCTGAAGGGTCTTCAAAGTCAGGCTAGGAAATGCTAATGTATATCATCTACTGCATGTATTATATAATAAAGACGTACCCGACAACCATCTAATAAATCTTCAGGTGCTTGAAATGCACTGACATCCAGATTTTCTAGATTTTCAAGTGTAGGCTCCAGTTTGCTGTTAAGTGAATTACATATTGATTCACTTACGCAACTTGCATTTATGTTGGAAATATTGCTGACATCTGAAAGAGTACGACCTACATATTTTGAAAACGTATAAATTTATGGGAGATAAAATAATCATGATTACATATTGTCTATGGATTAACTTTTCTTACAAATATAGGGCAATAAACAACTTCCAAAGTAAGATTCAGGGGTGTTTACTGAAATCTTAGTGGCAAAGTATAAAAAGGGAAAATGAAATTAATTAAGCCTCCTATCTTATTTAAATGAAAATAGATTTAACACATTTTCTTAATAGTGTCTTGTTTCCCATAAAAATCTGAAGTTGCTGACTTTAAGGTCCAAGAAGCTTACATTTGAAAAAATATTTTAAACATTTTGCCAACACGACACCTACAAAATAGAAATGGTTTTAATTTTTATACAAATACAGATGATCTATAACTGCAGCAAAACTGTAAATTAAGGAAAGATTAATATATGCATGTAATGTTTAAAAGATTAATACTTTTATCTTAAGCCCCCAGCTACCATTGTTCTTAATTTCTTTGATCATCTTTTGCATTACAACAGAGTATAAAAGACAGCATTCATTCATTCTAAAAGAAAATTACGAACAGTTCAGTGCTAACTTTTTATACAATTTGACTATTATACAATTATGCCTAGAAGCACAGCAAACAAGAAAAAGAAATTCCCTATCTCAGTGATCCTATTAACATACTGATTATTACATAGAAATATGACTGTCTTCAGAATAATTATTTTAATCTCAATGAGACTCACTATCAATTGTGTTGATCTGGCTGGTAGGAGTTGAAGAATTGGGCATAGTCTTTGCTTCTGGTCTAGGTTCTGTCTTGTATATGGATTCATCCTGACAAAAACCTTTCTCAATACTGTCAAAAAACCACTGTGTGGTCACACAGTGTACATTCCATCTCTTGGCACACTCATACTTCTGACCTGTGGCGTTCATTAAGAAAGAAATAGAGAAAATAGGAGAAACCAAGAAATGAAAACCATTACAATCTATCTTTGCAGAAATATTCAAATTATAACAGGTTAATATTTTTTTTTTTTTTTTGAGATGGAGTCTCACTCTGTTGCCCAGGCTGGAGTACAGTGGTGAGATCTTGGCTCACTGCAACCTCCACCTCCCTCCTGATCAAGCGATTCTCCTGCCTCAGCCTCCTGAATAGCTAGGATTACAGACGTGTGCCACCATGTCTGGCTAATTTTTTTGTATTTTTAGTAGACACGGGGTTTCACCATGTTGGCTAGGCTGGTCTCAAACTCCTGACCTCAGGTGATTCGCCTGCCTTGGCCTCCCAAAATGCTGGGATTACAAGCGTGAGCAACCGCGCCCGGCTATAACAGGTTATTTCAAAAACCTATCAACAAAATTAAAGTTACCAGTACTTACTCTTAAACAGTATGCTACACAGTTTATTACAAAGTAGTATTTTAGCTTATTGCCTAATTATATTTTCTATGTGTAGTATAAATACATATGCCATGTGAGAGGTTTTATCTTTTATACAAACTGCAGGAAGACAGAAGCAACTGTGGGGTAACTTAATTAATATTGGACTTGGGTTTGCATATAGGCTCCATCACTTAATTTCTTTAAACCAGCTTGTACAATGTGAAAATTGTAAATTTGTGCTATATAATAAATCCCAACTTTGAACAGACTATTCCAATGTCAACAGGCTTCTACTTAAAGTCCAGGATAGATAAGCCAAAAGATAAATTATATTGAAAATATGTATCTTTTATTACCTTAAAAATCTTCAACACAATGTATTTTGAAGCAGTATCACAGAGGAATTGAGGTCAATATGTCACATGAAAGGTTTTTTGGCATTCTTGAGAGAATCAACAATGAACTGTCTTCAGATTCAGAAAAAGAACAGCAGTATCAACTCTACTCACAGTGATCCTATCACAATCAGCCATACTCAAAGTTCTGACTTAAGGACAATTACCATTTAATCGTAATTTCTTCTCAATCTAGATAGCTTAGTAAAACACAGTATACATATAAAGGGCAATAATAAAAACATTAACAAAACTCATCTTTTATCAATTTGTGTATATTTTAAGAGTGCTGATAAAAAATTATCCAGAATAATGTTATGTAACACCAAACTTAATAGCAATTTTAAAGAATTTTTCTTGTTCGTAATGTCTTTTTCATTTTTTACTGCCTCATGTGCCGCAAGGTGTGTCTTCCAGTTAAAACTTTGCAAGATGTTAGAGAAAACATCTTTGCAAGATGTTAGAGAAAACAGTATCAAACTAGATTAATGACATGTCAGAAGTAAAAGCTGTTCTGTAAAGATTTTAAAATATTAAATATTAGTGGCTGGGCACGGTGGCTCATGCCTGTAATCCCAGGACTTTGGGAGGTTGAGGTGGGAAGATCAATTGAGGTCAGTTAGAGACCAGTCTGGCCAACATGGTGAAAGCCCGTCTCTACTAAAAATAAAAAGTTATTCAGGCGTGGTGGCAGGTGCCTGTAATCCCGCTACTCGGGAAGCTGAGTTGGGAGAATCGCTTGATCAAGGGAGGCAGAGGTTGCAGTGAGCTGAGATTGTGCCACTGCCCTCCAGCCTGGGCAATAGAGCAAGACTCTGTCTCAAAATAAATAAATAAATAAATAAAAATAAAATATTAAATACTAGAGAAAATGTTTCATTTGTCCCTTTGTGAAACACAGTTTTACCTTTTGGTTCTTGCACAATGAGGTGTGTACATTCATTCATTTTCAATTGTCCCATGTATTGACCTCCATGCTTAACTGTGAGTTGCTGAACTTCTTTCCTGTCTAAGCCACATAAGCCAGTCACACAGATTATGCAACCAAGAAAAATAGGACACTTGAAATCTTCCATGTTTATATCAGTATATCTAGTTATTTTTCTGTGGGAATCAAATGGTTAAAAAAGAACATATTAAATTTACCAGAAGAATAATGAAAAACAACACAAATATCACTATTGCTTCCCTCATTTTTTAGGATTTATAATCTTTTTTTTACAAAGGAGAACCACCAAAACAGAATTACACTAATTGTTCACCTAGTTCAATAACATGTCTCTAAAACAAAGTAATTGTTTCAGATACAGTCTCTCAAAACCATTTTAAGGGAAAAATATATATTTCCTTAACTCTAGCCCTTGCTGGTCATAGTATATTTTCCAAAATGATAAGTCTGAATCTCTACTTAAAAACCCAAAGGTAATTTGGTTGCCTATTAGATAAATGAACTTTTTAATCTTTCCATTATTCTATACAAGTAAAAGCAATGATTTTTGGCAAAATACCAACAAAAATATCATTATTCTGTTGCCATGCTAGGGAGGTGTGCTGATGAAGTAATCACATTGGGAATGAGAGTTGCTGACATGGAGACATATTTGGGATATGCTGGATGGTGTTGAAAACAAGCCCAGAAAAGTGCCGATATAATTCGTATGCCAATACAATTCTGTGGTGTTTGGTCTTGTGGTTGTTTATCTAGTTGCAGGGGAAACTGAAGTGTGCCCCTTGAAATAGGCTCTAAGCTCCATGAGGGAAGTGACTATCTTGTTTTGCTTACTACATATACCTAATGCCTACCTCAAGTCAGATACGTAAAATGGGCTCAATTAGCATTTATTAAATGATCACATCTCAGCTGATGACTTGCATATGTTTATATTCAACCTTACATATGCCATCTTTTGGAAGGAATGCAACTGCCAAAATGACTAATTTATTATCTATCTTAACATATGGGAATGGTGTTGAAGGATAATGCAACATAAAAGCTACAGAATTGCCAAACTCGTTTTCTCAATTATTTCAGAAATATTTACAGCTGAGAACTTTATCACCAAAGCATTTCCTACTCTGTAGCTAATGCTAAACCCTTGGCCCATTCTATGCCTGTCAACTTATATCTTGGTAATAAGAGCTTGTAGATTCTGCTCTTCCGTTTTCGCTGGAGAAAAGAGTAATGACACTATTTTTTTCCCTGAATAGTAAGTCCAAAGAGTATATCACATGCCAAAAATGATTGAATGCATCATTTTTTCAAATCTAGAAAATATAAAAATGTCTTTCTTACTTCTCTTGTGACTTCTCCCAAAGTGTTTTTATCCAAGAGGGAAGCAAAATAGGTTTCTTCAGGTTTGCAGCAACTAAATATTTTTTGCTACCAACTTCTCCTGCAATAAGGTGAGTTACTGATACATTAAGGTCTCTGTATACTCGTCCGCCCATCATTTGTACATATTTATGAACTTCTTCCTGCAGCCCCAAAAGAGAACACATTAATGCTGAAGCAAACAATATTGCTTCCACTTTTATACACTATCTCATAAATACATTTTGCTGTTGACAGTTTGAATACATAAGTGTTACATAACATTATAAAGTTAAATAATTAACCAAATTATTTTTTGGGAGATAAGTATGAATTATATTTTTAAAATATTATTTTCCTATATTTATCCCTTTCAACTCCATGAATGTATTAAACTATTATACAAAGGATGTATAAATCTTAATCTTTGCTTCTATATAAATATACATGTGTATTTTTAACAACATAAATTATATCTATATAATATATAAATATTTATTTTTAGCCAGGCTTGGTGGTGCATGCCTGTAATTCCAGCTACTCGGGAGGCTGAGGCATGAAGATTACTTGAGCCCAGGAAATCAAGGTTGCAGTGAGTTGTGATTGTGCCACTGCACTCCAGCGTGGGTGACAGTAAGACCCTGTCCCAAATATATATATGTATTTCTATAGCTCTCTCTTAGAATGCTTTTTTTTTTTTTTTTCCAAAACGAAATCTTGCTCTGTCACCCAGGCTGCAGTGCAGTGGCGTGATGTTGGCTCACTGCAACCTCCACCTCCCTGATTCAAACGATTTAGAATCCTTTTTTTTAAAGACTGTCCACCTATAGTGGAAAAATGTAAGTGATTAAAAAATGAGTGTCCTTTTAAATTAAAACAAAAAATTTCAATTAGCCAGTTTTCAACAAAACAAATTCTACTATATTCAATTTACTTAAAAAATGTACATGTATACATATATACACACTGTGGTTGTATACTGAACTTTGTTAAAAGTCACGAACAATAAGCGGAAAGTCTTTTAAGCTATCTTCTATGCAGTGAAAAATTAAGAATAAGAGATAGATATATAAATTGATCAATCATCATGAGATCAATATCTACCCTTTTTTCTTTTTCCAGACTTGTACAAGATATGGTTACATCAGACATAACCATATTATAAACTGGATGTTCGGCTCTTGGGACACATCGCTGGTGGTGCATACAAAATATGACTACTTGAGGACCAACAATTCTGCAGCCAAGCTACAAAAAAGAGAAAAGTTTAAATGAGTTAAGAAGGAAAAGACCACCAGTCTTACAAAATTACATTTTGTAACATTCACCAATTCTTTACCAAAGTTGATGACCACTGTAGAGAAATCAGCAAATCATTACAAGAAAAAAATAAAGATGACTATATAATTTCTCAGAGATACTATACATTAAACACTCACACACAAAAGCAAATCAAACAATGCAAGCTATCAAAAGAAATAAACTTCAGGCCAGGCACAGTGGCTCACGCCTGTAATGCCAGCACTTCAGAGGAGGCCGAGCGGGGGTGGATCACCTGAGGTCAGGAGTTCGAGACCAGCCTGGCCAACATGGTGAAACCCCGTCTCTACTAAAAATACAAAAATTAGTCGGGTGCAGTGGCGGGCACCTGCAGTCCCAGTCTCTAGGGAGGCTGAGGCAAGAGAATTGCTTGAACCCAGGAGGCGGAGGTTGCAGTGAGCTGAGATCACGTCACTGCACTCCAGCCTGGGCGACAGAGTGAGACCCTATAACAAAAGAAAAAAAAAAAGAAAAGAAAAGAAATAAACTTCAAAAGCCCCTTTCACTGAAAACTGCCTTACTGCTTACATCTATAAGCCCAATATTTTGGGAGGCTGAGGTGGGAGGATCACTTGAGTGCAGGAGTTCAAGACCAGCCCAGCCTGGCCAACATCGAGAAACCCTTTCTCTACTAAAAATAAAAAAATCAGCCGGGTGTGTATATACATCTGTAATCCCAGCTACTCAGGAGGCTAAGGCACAAGAATCACTTGAACCAAGGAAGCAGAAGTTGCAGTGGGCTGAGCTTGTGCCACTGCACTAAAGCCTGGGCAACAGAACAAGACTCTGTCTCCAAAAAACAAAAACAAAAACAAACAAACAAACAAAAAAAGCCTACTGTAACATAATTAGCCTTTCAATCCTGGTCTTGCCAAACCAAAAGAATTCCAATGTACTCATAAGTTGCATAGTACTTTATAATCCGCAAAGAATGTATGTCCATTAAAGCAAAGATAAACCAAAAAATAGACTACCAAAGGTACACACTAGAAGTCAGCAAACCTTTTTGAGGTGATCAAAGACAACGCCACTAAAAGGGTCACAGATATAAAGTGATCTATCATTCTCCTTTATCTTCAATGCCTCTTCTTCTGTAATAATCTGAAGATATTCTTCTGATTGGAATTCTTTTATGGACTGAAAGAAAAAATAAAATAAGAATGTACCTGAAATTACTCTCCTGTATTTAGGTCCTATTCAAATTCCATCTCAAATCCAGCCTTTTCCCTATTGAAAGCCACCATCACATCTCACTTAGACCTCTGCAGAAGGCTCCCAAGTGGTCTCTTTTTCCCTTCCTTGCCCTAAATCTGTTCTCTACACAGCAGCTAATAATCTTTTCAAAAACACAAGTCAGATCATGTCACTATCTGCTCAAAACCTAATGTCTTCACACCACACCCAGAATAAAATCCACATTTCTTACTACAGCCTTCAAGACAACACAGTCTGGTTTCCTGCCTATCTTTCCACCTTTACCTCCTACTTCTCATCTCTCTTGCTTATTCTATTCCAGCCACTCCCGCTTTCTTGCCAACCCTGGAACAAGCCAACCATAACCTCATTTAGAGGCTCTGCTCTTGATCTTGCAGCACAGAATACTTTTTTTCCAGGTTTTCACCTGACTTAATCCCCCACTTCAATCAGGTCTGCTTAAATGTCACCTCCCCAGAGATGCCCATCCTAATCAGGCTTTCTCAAATACCCTTCCTCTACCCTTCTAGTCTATTCTATTTAAAAATACGTATTTATATATATATATATAGTTTTTGTCTCTCTCCCCTGGAAGTTTCTATGTATCTTGTTTGCTACTATATCCTGACACCCAGTAAGCACTCAGAAATGTTCTGAACCAATTTTGAGGTCCTTATGTTAAATACAGTAATCCCTTTAAAACTGTAAGTCAGATCATGTTTACTCTTCTGATTATCAACCCTCCAATGGCTCTCCACTGAGAGAAAAATGGCCCACAAGGCCCTACATGACCTCTTTACCATTATTCTCTAACGCATTCCTTAGTACTCTTCCCCCATCCCTCACTCACTACACAACAGTACACTAAACTTGGATAGAGACTACAGGCACTTTCCCAGGGGCTGTATAAGGTTGCTCTCTCTGCCTGCAACATTCTTCTCCAGATATCTGCAAGGCTATCTCACCTCCTTCACGTTTACTCAATATCTTTTTCTTCATAAAGCCTACCCTGATCACACCCTATTTAAGATTATAACCCCCTTCTCTTCCCACCCCAAGAAACATCCTCTGGAACCCCTTAACGTGTTTTGCTTTTTTCTCTTCCTAATTTATCATGTCTGATTAGTGTCTATGTCCTCCTGCTAGAATGTAAGCTCTGAAAGAACAGAAATCTTTGCCTGTTCTCATCACTGATAAATCCCAAGTACTAGAGAAGTGCCTATCAAATCATGAACACTTCAATAAATACTTGCTGAATGAATGAAGTTTAAAAAAATCTGCTACAAATGCTTCTCAAACTTTAATGCACACTGAAGATCTTGTTAGAAATGCAGATTCTAAGTCTGGGTTGGAGGCCAAGATTCTGCATTTCGAAGAAACTTCCAGGCCATGCTGATACTGCTGGGTTCTGTGAGAAGCAAGGATCTACATCACCCCTACTATCATCCAATTATTATACTGTACATAATAAAACATAATTTTTAACAATTAACCAAAAAATTTTCAAGTATGACCAGTACACAACTGACTCAAATTTCTACAGCACGCAAAGGACCACTCTGGCTAGGAGACAAATGAAAGCAACTTAATTTCCAAGAACTGTAGGTCAGCCATATTAAACAGCAATGTGATAATAGACTTCCAGCCCCCCGAAATACATAATGATGTACTTAGATCAATTCAAAAATATGTGATAATGATATATCTGTATTAATGTAGACTATAAAATTATTATGAAAGTGAAATATCTACTTCTAAGACATAAAGCCCAACAAATCAAAAACACTTAAAAACAAGAAAATGAATTCACGGTATTAAGATGTTTTCAACTCTTACCTCGAGAGCTTTAAAAAAACATTTGGAATTGTCTGAAGACTTTAAAAACTTCACAAAAAACGGTTCTTTGTCATTTCTGGACATTTCTGAACTGTCAAAATAAAGGAACCATTAACAAGAACAAAACCACATTAGATAAAAAGTTGCATGTTTAACCTACCTATTTTTCTGTGCAGACAAGAATGCCTAAAGACAGACATTCTGGCTCTGCCCGTGAATTCGTCAACGGCATTTCTAAGAAATCCTGGAACTTGGACAAAGCCAAGGTAAAAGATGACAACACCAATCCTTGCAAATCAGACAGCAAAATTAACCCGAATTGAATACACTGAGGAAGGCCCTGCTATGAAGGCTCTAAGCCCTTTAGGCCAATGGACATTCAATTGCACTTGTTTTAAGGATACACAGAGTGTATCTGTCCCTGCGGATACCCACGGCCTGCGAGGTACGTTCATCCCTCAGTAAACAGATTTTAAATATAAACATGGAAGCCAGTTAGCATGGTCTTGGCCCTGCATAAGGCTAGATGCTCCGGTTCCCATCTCCAGGAAAAGGCCTGGCTCTGGGATCACGGAAGCCACGTCCTCTCGGCGTCAAAGGCCCACCCGCCGGCTCCAGGGCCAGTTACCAGGACAGGAAAAGAGGGTCCTGAAGGCCACAGAAGGCATCGCGAACCCCAGTTGGGGCTGGGGAGGAGCTGTGTCCCCACTCCGCGCCTCACTTACCTCGTTGGAGCCTCGGGGTCTCCGGGCGGCGAGTCGGGGGACGCGCTGGCCGCAGGGCGGTGGCTGGGGTCGGGCGCCAGCCCGGCGCACAGCCCCCTCCCCCGACTCGGCGCCGCCCCTACCCCAAAGCAAACGCTGGAGAACCCGGAAATTGCCCAGAACGGGAACCGACTTTCGCGCCAACCGCGCGGCCGCGCTTGCCTTTTCCGGTGGAAGTGACGCCATCGGCAGCTGCAGCAGAAGAGCGGAAATGTCAAACGTGGAGGTGAGCAGTCTGTGGGCGGTGGGGCTTCAGGGAAAGCTTGGGCCGGACCCTTTGGGTTTAGGGCTTTGCTGGGCGGGCCTAGTCTCCGCTGCGAGTAGGCCCAGCGCCGTCGGTTCAAGAGGTAGGACCACAGGCCAGGAATACTCCTTTACTGTTAAAAAAGCCAGGGAAAGAAAGGATTTCCTCAATAGATATTTATTTTACACCTGTCTTATACCAGGCATGCACGGGAAAAGGTATTATCCAAAACAATTCCGTGAGGCAAATAGTGGTAGTTCCATTTTGTAGATGTAAAAACGGAGGAAGTTAAATGATGGGTTCAAGGGCACACGGCTAGTAGGTGGTAGAATTAATACTGCATCCAGGTCTTCTGACTACGGACTGGGTGGTTTCCCTCCAACACAGCAGGAATAGAATCACCGCCTAACACAGCCACAAGATGGCAAGGGAAGAAAGGATGACTTATTACACAGCTAATGCAAAGGGATCTTTGTCAAGATCTTCAATGGTCTCCCCTCCTCCTCCCCTTCAGTGGACATCGCCGTTCTCTTTCTCTGCATCTGCCTCAGTACTGGGGAGATTCTGGGACTGAACCTAAGATTCAGATGGCAGAGAGCAAAGGGAGAGGGGATAAGATGGGCCTGCAAACCTTAGTGATAACCAGCGGAAAACTGATTCGTTGTTGCTTCTTTTCATTTTATTCTTTTTTAAAAAAATTTTTTCTTATTTTATAAAATCTAGCCACTATACTAATGAGGATCATTTTATTATTCACTGCTGAGATTGAGAAAATGACTTTGGATTTACTAATGTAAAAGTATAATGCCATGTCCCTTGATTGTTTTTGTTTTTCTTTTCTTTTTAGAGCCTAAAGATAGTAATGAGCAGCTTGAGTCTTAAGTTTTTGAATACACCGATGGAAGGTGACAAAGATTCTTTGCTTGGCCAAACTTTAGTCAGACTCCTCAACCTTCTCGTAGGTTTATCTGTGCATTTCCTTGGAAAATCCAGTTAGAACCCTCTACCCTCAATATCTGATCAGGTTCCTCATCCTCTACCATCCAAGGTGATGTCTGATCACCTTGACCTATTTTCAGCAAGAAACCCCTTTACTCCTGAAGTTCCTTCTTAGTAATTTTTTATCCAGTGACCCCAAGCTTTTTGTTCCTTGGCTATAAATTCCCACTTGCCCATGGTGTATTTAGAGTTGAGCCCACTCTCTCTCTCCTAATTCAGAATCCCATTGCCATGGTTGCTATACCTATCCTGATGGTCCGGAATAAAATCTGTCTTACTGTGCTTTAATAAATATCATTAATTTTTTTTTTTTTTTTTTTTTACCAGAAATGAGTCAGAATCAATTAACACTGGGGCTCAAAGGTAAAGGCCTATTGCTGGGGGAAGGGTGAAGAAAGCCTTAAAAGCAAAAAAACAAAAATCACTAGAGGTGGGAAAAAAAAGAAACCACAGTTAATTGTTAAGGTGCAAATCTGACCTGAATCTGTAATAACAATTAATATTTCTAGGGCACTTTACAGTTAACATGGGACTCCTGCTCACACTATTCCCGTTTACTCTTTTCAGCAACCCTATAATAGATGGGTATCATTGTCTCATGTTATGGAGATGGGGAAAGTGAAGTTCAGGGACTGTGTCACTTGCCCGTGCCTTTCCTGACACACCACACTGCTCCTGGGCACGTGCTGTCTGCCCATCTCTGTGTGAAGTTCCACACCGGGGAGGGAGCCCATTCCTGGCATTTCTGGGCCAAGTAGAGACCTCACAAGAGAAGGAGATTCATAGATGCTGCTAATGAAGATGAAGAAAATGCACCCTTTAGCTTTTACCCAGCCGGAACTTGATACCAGAGGAGTGACCTGTCTTTAGAGTAAGAGTTCACCACTAGGGGGCAAGTTCTCCCATCTTGTGTCTCCAGATAAGCAGAGAGGGTCTGTCTCTAGTATCTACTCCTGGAAAATGGATAAAGCAGTGGTTCTGATGTGTAGTGTCTGGACCAGCAGCATCGGCATCTCCTGGGAATTTTGGGGGAATGAAAATTCTTGGGCTCCACTTCAGACTTATTAAGTCAGGAGCACTTGGGGTAGGGCTAGCAATCTGTGCCCTTCAGGTGATTTTGGTACACATTAAAGTTTGCTTGAACAGCAGTCCTTCAGGAAAGGGTGAAATGGTTAGTATCCACGGAGGATTGATTCCAAGGCCCCCTACAGATAACAAAATCTGAAGATGCTCAAGTACCTTATATATAACCTGTGCACATACTCCCATGTACTTTTTTTTTCTTTTTTTTGAGACGGAGTCTCACTGTTGTCCAGGTTGGAGTGCAGTTGGCACAATGTCTGCTCACTGCAACCTCCACCCCCGGGGTTCAAGCGATTCTCCTGCCTCAGCCTCCCAAGTAGCTGGGGTTACAGGCGTCTGCCATCGCACCCGGCTAATTTTTGCATTTTTAGTGGAGACGGGTTTCACCTTGTTGGCCAGGCTGGTCTTTAACTCCTGACCTCGTGATCCACCTGACTCAGCCTCCCAAAGTGCTGGGATTACAGGCATAAGTCACTGCGCCTGGCCACTCCCATGTACTTTAAATAATCACTAGGTTACTTATAATACCTGATGCTATGTAAATACTATGTAAACGTTTGTTATACTGTATTTTTAAATTTTGTTTTTTTATTGTTGTATTTTTTCTACTATGGCAAATTTTACATAAAAATTGTATTTTTTTTCTGAATATTTTTGATCCCCGGTTGGTTGACCTCCTCAGATGTGGAACCCACAGATACAAGGAACTAACTGTATATGGGTTTGTGGTCCCTGAAGACTTTGGTGAAAACAGGGAAAGGTTATGATATGCCCTCGGAAGCTGAGGTTTCGGTGCTTACTTTGGCAGCATGTTTACTGAAAAAAAAATGGAATGATACAGAGATAAGCATTGCCCATGTGCAAGGATGACATGCAAATTTGTGAAGCATTCCATATTTGCCGGTCGTGGTGACTCTCGCCTGTAATTCTAGTACTTTAGGAGGCCCAGGCTGGAGGATCACTTGAGGCTGAGAGTTCGAGACCAGCCTAGGCAACGTAGCAAGAACCCCCATCTCTAATATTTACAAACTTTTTTAAAAAAGAAGCTGGGGACCGGGTGCTATGGCTCACATCTGTAATCCTAGTACTTTGGAAGGCCAAGGTGGGCAGATTGCTTGAGCCCCAGACTTTGAGACCAACCTGGGCAACATGGTGAAACCTCATCTCTACAAAAAATACAAAAATGAGCTGAACGTGGTGGCGGGCATCTGTAGTCTCAGCTACTCAGGAGGCTGAGGTGGGAGGATCACCTGAGCCTAGGAGGTCAAGGCTGTGGTGAGTCATGATCATGCCACTGCATTCCAGCCTGGGATAACAGAGTGAGACCCTATCTCAAAAAAAAAAAAAAGAAAAAAGAAAAAGAAAAAAAAATGTAGTTGGGGTAGGGAATTAACTTTTCCCTCACTTTCCTGGCATTTAGGATCAGTTTCCTGTTTCTCTGGCACTTCTGTCACCTAGAGCCAGTCTCTCCAGACCCTGCTTGGGGTGACATTATGGGCAACTTTATCTGTTTATAGAATGGAAAAGGAGGCCGGGAGTGGTGGCTCATGCCTGTAATCCCAGCACTTTGGGAGGCCGAGGTGGGCAGATCATCTGAGATCGGGAGTTCGAGACCAGCCTGACCAACATGAAGAAACCCATCTCTACTAAAAATAAAAAAAATTAGCCAGGCATGGTGGCAGGCGCCTGTACTCGGGAGGATGAGATAGGAGAATTGCTTGAACCCAGGAGGCGGAGGTTGTGGTGAGCCGAGATTGCACCATTGCACTCCAGCCTGGGCAAAAAGAGCGAAACTCCATCTCAAAAAAAAAAAAAAAAAAAGAACGGGAAAGAAAACACAGGAAACAAATATGACAAAATAGTTACTTTTACAATGTGGGTGGTGGGAATATGAATATTTATTATTATATTTTACTACATAGATAATATTTCTCAAAATTAAAGCCAAACTAAAAATAGGTTTTTTGAGTTATAGAGTTTTATGTTTGTTTCCAATGCTGTAAATGAATAAATACGTATAAATAAATGAATGTACAATTTGCTTTGGTTTTTGTTTTGAGATGGAGTCTCGCTCTGTCGCCCAGGTTAGAGTGCAGTGGCATGATCTCGGCTCACTGCAACCTCCGCCTCCTGGGTTCAAGCGATTCTTCTGCCTCAGCCTCTTGAGTGGCTGGGACTACAGGCATGTGCCACCATGCCTGGCTAATTTTTGTATTTTTAGTAGAGATGGGGTTTCACCATATTGGCCAGGCTGGTCTTGAACTCCTGATCTTGTGATTCACCCACCTCGACCTCCCAAAGTGCTGGGATTACAGGTATGAGCCACCGCACCCGGCCTTGAATGTACAATTTAGAAGTGAAATTAGCAAATGATATTATCGCTACAGAAATAGTCTGATTAGCAAAACATTTGTTTAAACTATTGTCTTCAGTAACCTGGAAGATAGAACATAGGCCTACTAAGTCTCCTCTAGCAAAGAGGAGGTAAAATAGAATGTCATTAGCACATTCTATTCTATGTGGGTTGCTACTGGCTGCATTTAATTAGATAAGCAAAAGACAAGCTCAGGGAATTGGCCTGTTTGCAAACAAAAATAAAGAGAATTTAAAAATTCAGGCCTGGCCAGGCATGGTGGCTCATGCCTGTAATCCCAGCATTTTGGGAGGCTGAGGCAGGTAGATCATGAGGTCAGAAGATCGAGACCATCCTGGCTAACACAGTGAAACCTCGTCTCTACTAAAAATACAAAAAATTAGCCAGGCGTGGTGGCGGGCGCCTGTAGTCCCAGCTACTCGGGAGGCTGAGGCAGGACAATGGCGTGAACCTGGGAGGTGGAGCTTGCAGTGAGCTGAGATCGTGCCACTGCACTCCAACCTGGGCAGCAGAGCGAGACACTGTCTCAGAAAAAGAAAAAAAAAAAAATCCAGGCCGGATGCAGTGGCTCACACCTGTAATCCTAGCACTTTGGAAGGCTGAGGCAGGAGAATTGCTTGAGGCCAAGAATTCAAGACCAGCTTGGGCGACACAGCCAGATCTTGTCTCTAAAAAAAAGTTTTGTTGTTTTTTTTTAAAATTAACTGAGTGTGGAGGACACACACCTGTAGTCCCAGGTACTGGGAGGCTGAGGTGGGAGGATTGCTTGAGCCCAGGAGTTTGAGGTTACAGTGAGCTATGATCTCACTATTGCACTCTAGCCTGAGTGACAGAGCAAGACTCTGACTCAAAAAAAAAAAAAAAAACCCAAGTATGTGAGATTTTGCAAGGTTGGAAAAGCTGACTTCATCTGTGTCCTAAAAACAAGAGATAAACCTGAGAAAGGTTTTGAGCAACAAATGTCCATTACAACCCGACCATGTGGAAAAGATCTAGTTAAAGAATATGGTCCTGTCACCCAAGCTAGGTAGGCACCATCAACTGAGAGAGAGAGAGAGAGGTATGGGGCCAAAGATAGCAATCAGGTTTGAAAATTATGTCTAGGAAAGAACTAGGGAGGGGACTACTTCTGTAGAAGAACAGCTCTGCCATGACTTCCTCTATTGATAAGCTTACACATATCAATAGAGGCAAAGGCTTGAATTGCAACTTATCTGAGCCCTGGCACAACACCTTGTCATCCTTAAGGGAGGTGTCTAAGGAGCTACTAGAAAGGCATCTCTCACTCACCTTTCTATCTCTCCTAAGAGGCTGTCATGACATAGTTTCTCATCACCTCCCAGGTTTTGATGAGATATGGGGCTTTCTGCCCCACTCCCCTCATGATAGGCCTGCAGAATATAAAAGCACTAGCTGCCATCTAGATTTGACTCCTTAGTAATAGAGTATCCTACAACTCGCATTGCAATCATCAGACCCAGGGAGAAGACATCTTTCACTTATTCTTCTCTGTTGCTATCTATGGAAGTAATAAACCATCTAAATCTAAAAATGTCTCAAGTATGTTCACTGGTGGAATCAGGCCCTACCCTTGACCTTGTTTTGTATGTGTGAGGTTGACAATTACCACGTGAAACTGACTGGAACCAAATAGATCTGAAGGTTACGAACATTTTGAGATAATTGCTTTCTGAACCCAACCAGAAACCTGGAGTATTCAGACTTTGATTTAATCCTCAAATTTTCGCAGCACAAGTAGGTGGAAAGTCATACAGCCCCAAGGAGCACAAACTCCTCAGTATTCAGATATGGATAGAGAGGGTAATAGAAAATGAAGATCCTCCCAGAAGGAGGTACCAGGGATCCTGGAGAGCAACGAGCAAAGGAGCTCCTGTCACAGAACAGAATCTGATCTAATCAGAACCCCCAATCGAGAGCCTCCTAGTGCCTGCCCAACTTCAAAATTGATACTGACCAATGATGGCTATGGGTCTCCACTCCTCCCTTTTCTGAAAGGGAGTTTTATTGTTGTTATTCTGTTTGTGCCTCCCCATTCCCCAGTGTGTAGCAGATGTGTGCTTGGGCAGGGAGGGAAAAAAACATGTCTGGATTCTGGCAGAGACCATGTAGAAACCCTTAGTGTCCCACCCATACCCCCTCACCCTTAGCACTCATGCACATTAGGAAACTTCCAGCTGCCAGCATCTGTGTTCATTGCATGAAGGCATTCTCTGGCACCAGGAATCTGCTCTGCCACCTGCACAGTAGGCCAGAGGGCTAGAGGATTTATGACCTATAGGGAAAAAAACCCCTTAAATGATGGCTGACAGGAGTTGGTGCACAAAAACCCTTGTTTGCATGTCCCGTGGATGGGACATCCACTCTGACTCTCATAGTTTCCTCAGGGGAATTAAGTCCCAGTGTCCACAGTGGCATCTGACTTGTTAACACATTCTTTGGATGCCTTTCTCCCTGTCTCACATCTCTATTTTCTTTTTTCTTTTTTTTTCTGAGACGGAGTTTTGCTCTGTTGTCCAGGGTGGAGTGCAATGGCGCGATCTCAGTTCACTGCAACCTCCGCCTCCCGGGTTCAAGCGATTTTCTTGCCTTGACCTCCCGAGTAGCTGGGATTACAGGTGCCTGCGACCACACCTGGCTAATTTTTTGTATTTTTAGTAGAGACGGGGTTTCACTATATTGGCCAGGCTGGTCTCAAACTCCTGACCTCAGGCGATCCACCCACCTAGGCCTCCCAAAGTGCTGGGATTGCAAGCATAAGCCACCGTGCCCAGCCACATCTCTACTGTCTTGCCTGTGTTTCTTTACTTGTCAAATAAAACATCTGAGAAGGCTTGTCTAAAAGTCTGTTTTCTGGGTCTGCTCAAACTAAGACAAAAGACCCCAGACATGTGCTCCCCTTTCATAGTGTTTTGCTGTTGCTGAGAAGTAGTTTCCTAGCCAGAGACTATGGTTCCCATCCTCTTTACAATTGGTGGGGTCATGGGACTGAGTTATGGCCAATAGAATATAGGTAGAAGTGATGTTTGTCACATCCGAGCTTGATCCAAGGAAATTTCTTGCACTACCTTCCACGCTCTTCCTTATTCTGTCATTTGAATATCAACACACAGAGCAATCTTGGAAGCCATGTGTTGAAAATGGCAGAACCTCTCTCAGCCTGGATCTCTGAATGACTGAATGGAGCTATGAAAGTGAACTCCCCACTCCCACCCTAACAAATCACCACGATTGCTGCCAGATGGGCTTTATGTTACTAAGAGGTCAACTCCTATTGTGTTAAACCATTAAGATTTTGGAGCTTTGCTATTATAGCAGTTAGTGCTATTTGTGAGACACTATTTTCCAACCTTATATTAGAATGTTGGGCAAGAAAATTTGATCTCTGCCCTCATAGACCCTATTTCCTTTCAAATGTATGAATAAGTGAAGGGAGAGCCAGGACAGTTAAATCCAACCAATTCTGAACTTGGAAACAGTTTAAACAAACATGGTGCCCCATGCCGTTATTACTTCAAGATGCCTTGGAAAGGGGAAAGTGTGAAATTGCTCCAGAGACAAATGTCAGAGGCCACATGAGAAACAGCATGGACTATGGAAGCAGGCTGCCTAGTTTGAATGCCAGCTTGGACACCTACTAGCTACCTGACCTTGGGCAAGTCACTGGTTAACCTTTCTGTGCTTCACTGTCTCTCTGTACAAAAAGAGGATGGCAATAGCCTTATGGGGTTACTATCATTTAACATTTGGGAAGCACTTAGTACAATGCCTGGTACACACTAATAAATCTATAAATCCCAAGTTTTCCAAAGACCATCTTTGCCGTGAAGTTTTAAAACTGTTTTCCACCATACAAGCATCTAACCTTCTGCTTTGCTATTTATGAGAGCCTGTACCAAAGCACAGAAATGACTTTAGCACTTTGGATGTCCTATCTTTGCAATATCACTTTGTCCCAGTACACACGAAGTTTTCAGAGTTTGATCTAATCTAGGGTCGGGGGCACAGTGGCTGCTATTGGATTTAGGCTGTGTTAGTTTTAGGTGAATAATTAACCTTAGAAGGAATGATCACCTCTGGACTTTATTTGGTTTTTGTCCATAGGCCTGCATAGGAGATTGCTCAACCCACTTTTGAGACATTTGTGTGCATTTATTGATCTGTTTGATTTTTTGAGCCCAATACTATAGCAGACAGTATTTTCCAACCTTGTGTTAGAATGTTGGACAAGAAAAAAGTGATCTCTGCGCTCATAGATCCTATTTCCTTTCAAATGTATGAGTAAGTGAAGGGAGAGCCAGGACAGTTAAAGATGAACCACTCGGCACATGGCCAGGGGGAATCTGGCTTTACCTGAGCAGAGGGTCACTGCTGGCTTACAGAGAAGCCAGCCGAACTGATGGCAGTCTCAGGGCTGGAAAAACAGAAGTGGAGGCAAGATCCCATTGAGAAGGGAGGAGCAGAGAACTAAGCTTGACAAAGGGCCAGTTTTCTCCTTAAGATACTTGGCACAATTTGAAGTTCCATGGAATGGGAGATAAAAAGATAATGCCACACCTTGAAGAGGCTCCAATAAATATATCAAGTATATGAGGTTCCTGTTACTACTGTAACAAAACTTAATATCTTACAGTTTTGGAGGTCAGAAGTCTGAAGTGGATCTCACTGGGCTTAAATCAAGATGTCAGCAGGGCTGAGTTCCTTTCTGGAGGCTCTGCTTCTACATTTAAAGAACCCTTGTGAGGATATTGGCCCACCTGGATAATCAAGCAATACATTTCTCAATAAACCATGAGTTGAATAAGAAATCACAATAAAATTAGAATATATTTTGAACTGAATAACCATGAAGTTATAATATATCAAGAAAAGGAATACTTATAGGCAAATTTATAGCCTTTATCACATGTAATAGAGAAGAGAGGCTGAAAAATCAGTGACCTTAACTGCCTTAAAAGAAAAAAAAAGGCAAGAGAGGCCAGGCATGGTGGCTCACAGCTGTAATCTCAGCACTTTGGGAGGCCAAGGCAGGCAGATCACTTGAGGCCAGGAGTTCGAGACTGGCCTGAACAATATGGTGAAACTCCATCTCCACTAAAAAATAAAAATAAATAAAAATTACCCGGGTGCTCTGTCTAATGCCTGTAATCCCAGCTACTCAGGAGGCTGAGCCAGGAGAATCACTTGAACCCAGGAGGCGGAGGTTACAATGAGCCGCAATCTTGCCACTTCACTCCAGCCTGGGCGATAGAGTGAGACTCTGTCAAAAGAAAAAAAAAAAAAAAGAAGAAGAAGAAAAAGGAGAAGAAGGAAAGAAAGAATAAAGAAGCTAGAGAAAGACCAAAATTCAAAGTCAACAGAGCAGAAATCAATGAAACAATAAATGAATGTACAATAGAGAAAAACAGCAAAGCCAAGGTTGATTCTCTGAAAAGATTAATGAAATAGGTAAAATCCTGGCAATACTAATCAAGGAAAGTAGTAAACATAAATCACTAATATCAGCAATGAAAATACTAAATACCATATACTAAAAATGTCAAAGGATAAGATCATGAATGATTTTATATCAATAAATTTGAAAATTAGATAAAATGGACAAATTTCTTTAACAAAAAACTTACCAATATTGAAACTTGAAGGATCATAAAATCTGGATATTTCTCTAGCTATTTAAGAAACTCAATCTGTTATCAAAAACTTTTCCACAAGTAAAACTCTAAACACAGGTGGCTTCACTGGTGAGGCCTTCCGAACATTTAAGAAAGAAAGAATGCTATTCTTACACAGTATCTTCCAGAGAATAAGAAAAGAAGTAACATATTCCAATTAATTTTATGAGCAATTAAAACCTTGCAACCAAACTTTTAGTGACATTAAGATAAAGAAACCTGCAGAATGATTTCTCTCACGAACACAAATGCAAAAAATCCTAAAAAAAAAAAAAAAAGTAATCAAGTTCAGCAATATGTAAAAAAATGTTATACGTAATAGCCAAGTGGGGTTTATTCCAGGAATGTAAGAGTAGTTCAACATTTAAAAATCAATTAAAGGAGTCCAGCGTGGTGGTGCACTGCTGTAGCCCCAGCTACTTGGGAGGCTGAGGAGGGAGGATCACTTGAGCCTAGGAGGTGGAGCCTTCACTGAACTATGATCCCACAGCTGCACTCCAGCCTGGGCAATAGAGCAGGACCCAAGCAAGAGGGAAGGGAGGGGAAGGGGAGGGAAAGGAAGGGGAGGGGAGGGAAGGGGAGGGGGACAGAAAAAGGAAAGAAGAGAGAAAGAGAAAGAAAAAGAAAGAAAAAAGAGAATAAGAGAAGTTTACCACATTAATATAAAAGAAAAGGGAATCATATGAGTATCTTAGGTGCAGAAAAAATACTTGACAAAATGCAATACCCATTCATGATTTTTAAAAAATTTAGGCAACCCAGGAAGGAAGGAAAGTTCCTTAATATGGTTAATAATATTTAAAACAAAACAAAACACCAGCAAAAATTTTGCATAATGGAGAATTATTGAAAACTTTCCCTATCACCCTTCTACTCAATTTTGTATTAATAGTTCGGCAGTAACTATTAAAGCTGAACGTACATCTACTTCATGATGTATGGGGAAACCCTGCAGTGATGCATCCCTAAGTGCACGAAAAGACATGTAGTAGAATGTAATGTGAGTTCTAGCCAGTGCAGTAAGTCAAGAGGAAAGAGATTCCTAAGGATCTGAAAGGAAAAAACAAAACTGACCTTATTCATATAAGATATAAGGATGTGCATAGGAAGGAAGCAATTCCAACTAATAAGACAACTCAGCAAGATCACTGGATTCAAGGTCAATATACGAAAACCAATTGTTTTTTTCAGATACCAGCAACAGATAGAAAATACAGTTAAAATTATATCCACAGCAGCACTATCCTTAAGAGCCCACTGAAGACTACAACGATCAAGAGGAAAGATAAAATGTGCTGCATACACAGTGTAGAATGTGCAACGCTGATAATGAATAAAGGGCAACTATAAACAACATAGGTGAATCTCACACATAGCATCTCCAGTGAAAGAGGTCAAACACAGAATTGTACGTATGGTATGATTCCATCTGCATAAAGCTCAAAAATCAGCAGAATTAGTCTATGTGTTAGAAGTCAAGATAATGGGTACCTTTGTGGGAGGGGGTTGTGCCAGCTTTGTTTGTTAACGTTTTGTTTCTTGATGTGGGTGCTGGTTATGTGGGTGTGTTCATTTGATGATAATTAAGCCGTACATTTATTTAGAACATGTGACGTTCTATGCATATTTATTATACTTTAATTAAAAGTTCTTAAAATTGTATTTAAATTCAGATTTTCCCCAGGCAGAAGTCACAGACCTGAGCAGGATCGGGCTGCAGGGGCGAGGAGAGGCCGCCCTCTCTGGGTTCAGCGCTTCACCTGACCTTGGCCTCCCGGAGCAGAGGGCTGCTGGGGACAGTGTCATTTGGGTAGAGTTTCCGAGAGGACCCAGGAGTGGTCCATTCTCTCGATGGAGACCCATTTGGGAGGAAGAATCTGAGAATCCTTGAGAATTGTGTTCAAAACGTTGGGTATATGAGAGCGCGTGCTTTCCAGGGGAAGAGCCCACGGTTTTCACCCTATGGACAGCCCCCGAATCCCTAAGCTTTTGTATTTTTGAGACGTTTAGGAGCTGCTGGGCTAGATGAGGGTCCAGGGGTCAGAAACCTGCGTATAGCAACTCACCTGGGAACCCCCGCGGATCTCTCTCTGGGTTGTAAAGCGGCCAGACTAGTGCGCTCCGAAGCTGCTCAGGCTCCGGGGTGCTGCCCCCTTCCCCGAAGTGCAGCCTTGCAGACCCCGGGGCTGGGAAGGGGGCGGGAGAGAGGCTTGCATCTTGCAGCCCTCCGGTCCCACGGAGGGCACAAGCTGCTCGCTGGCTGCCCCAAGGGAGGAGTGCGAGGAGTGGCGAGGGCTATCAGCCCTGGTGGGCGAACCTTTCCCAAGAGGCGCTGCTTGCTCCGGCGGGGTAAAGCCGGACGAGGCGCGAGAGTGGGGTGGGTGACGCGCGCCAGCCACGGAGAATGAGGCTCGCTATCTGCGCCCTGCTGTGCGCCGGGGCCCTGAGTAAGTGAGCGCTGGGAGTCGAGGTGGGGGCCGGCGCTGCAAGGTGCTCCGGGGAGGCACTGGGTGCAAGCAGCGGGTCGGTCACAGCGGGACCCTGCGCGACAACCGGACAGTCAGCGGGCCTGCGGGGCTGCGATGCACCCCTGAAAGTGCTTTCTCCACGCCGGCGCACCTGACACTTAGGTCCTCGCAGAAACCCCATTGACTAGGGAGAGGATTGCAGACTATGACTAGCTGGCCAAATCCTGTCTGCGGCTTGATGTTGTATACACCCAGATGAGAGAATGCTTTTCACATCTTTAAATGGTTGAAAGGGAAAGGCCAGACGCGGTGGCTCAGGTCTGTAATCCCGACACTTTGGGAGGCCGAGGCGGTGTATCACCTGATGTCAGGAGTTCCACACCAGCCTGGCCAACATGATGAAACCCCGTCTCTACTAAAAATACAAAAATTAGCCGGGTGTGGTGGCGGGAGACTGTAGTCCCAGCTACTCCGGAGGCTGAGGCATGAGAATCTCTTGAACCCAGGAGAGGGAGGTTGCAGTGAGCCGAGATCACGCCACTGCATTCCAGCCTGGCCGACAGAGTGAGACTCTGTCAAAAAAAAAAAAAAAAAAAAAAAAGATTGAGGGGGAAATCAAAAGAGCAATATATGTGACATGAAAATTATATAAAATTCAAATTTCAGTGTCCATAAATAAAATTTTATTAGAATGCAATCATGATCATTCGGTTAAATATTGTCTATATGACAGCTTTCAGGCTTGTCCAAGTCAAATATCCCTAAGTTTAAAACATTTTATTTGGGAAGCAAGAATTGAAATTCTGAGCATACACACAGACTGGGTGGTCTTCTATATGTCCAAAGGACAAAGAGAAGATTGGAGGTTTCATAGAAAGGAGAAATGTTCTTCTAGAAAGTTCATTGGCAAAAGTAAAATTTTGGGGAACTGGCAGATCCTGACTAGTGAGGGACTATAACAGGTAAAATTAGCCTTCGAGTCACAGCAGGTTTCAGCAGCTGTTAACTACACCTGGTCTCAGTTTACAACAGGCAGTTTCAGCAGCCAGGCTTGCGAAGAATTTCACATGTGGAGCAGTGCTATGTGCCCTGAGTGCTTTTTTGCCCCTGACTTCTCACTGTGTTTTAGTTGGGTATGACAAAAATAACCCACTTCTGTATGATCAACTTTCACAGGCTTCAAGGTCAGAGTTGAGGAGTTGCCACAGAGACTAAAGTATTTACTCTTTAGCCCGTGACAGAATAAGTTCATGACCCCTGAACTAGAGGCTGTTGATCTCGTTTACAGTGAAAGAAATGGGGTTAGAGGAGAGAAGGGATTTTTTCCCCCTGGGGCTTAAGGGTTATTATTAAGTGAGGGGGAGGAGCAGGCAGGACACATGTCAGGTGTGCCTAACATCTAACCAGAAGGGTTTTTCTCGCCTCAAACTGGACAGTGCTTCCAGTACTTTTACCATACAACAGAGAGGTAGAGAGATATAGGGGAAAAAACTATCACCATAGAATGAGATCCACCTGTCACTCACTGCTGTGTGACTCTGAGCTCTCCCTTGACATCTCTGAGCTGGTTTCATTCACTAATAATTGCGTTTTCACAACAAACACAATTGCTGTGAAAATGAGATACTGTATCTAGTGGCATGCAGAGCTCTAGGCACAGGTGAGTTACACCGGTAAAAATCTGCACATAAATGCAAGGGGCCCCTTCCTGTTTTGCGAGGGTGGGCTCCTCCAGGGCTCTTGGCGGGGTGATTTGAGGAAGGGAGTGATGCGAAGTCAATGAACTCATGCATGTGAAGAGCCCTCCCTGGCTCAGCAACTGTTGGTTCTGTCCAGCCCTGGTTCTGTCACGTCTGAGGCTGTTGTAAATAATTTCTGGGGTAGGGTATCTTATGTGGGGTGAGGGGTGAAGGGCAGAGCAAGAGGAAGGCAGGAAGGGAAGGGGATGCTGTGGTGGCCCCTCCCTGGCTCAGCACGGCCACGTGGGGCCACACAGGGAGCTCTGCTGGGGCTAGGGAAGGCTGGAAGGCAGAGCACAGTTGTAGTTGAACTGCAGTCACAAGGAAACCCAGAGTGCAGCCCCGCTGGGATCGTTCCTAAATTCTTCTTGAGTAGGGCTTCTGCTATTCTTCCTCTGTCTCTCGTCCTGGCAATGTCAGGCTCTGACCAAAAGTTCATTTACCCAATTCACCCTGTGTTTATAAACCAGAGACAAGAGCTGCCCATTTCAGCCTCCTCATTCATCTTCCCTCCTTCTTGGCTGCTGGACCAGGCCAGAGTCTGGGATACGCTTTCTTCAAAGCTCAGTGTTCTAGTCAAACAAGAACTATTCTGGTGGCAAATGACAGAAAATGCAAAGTAGCTTGAATAAAAAAGACCAAAGGGAAGGGGGCAGTTATTGGTATGCCCTGTAAGAGCCAGGAGCCAAGGGCTCAGACAGCCTGTACCTCCACCTTGGCCTCCACCTCCTTTCTCAGCTTCTTGCCCTTGCTTAAGAACTTTCTCTATTCGGTGAGCATCAGCAGCTTTCCCGTTTCAGGATCAGTCTGAAATATTCACAGTGGGCTCTGATTACCTCTGCTTTAAATTGTCATATGGCCAGTGCTTTTAGTGAGTGACCTAGTCTAGGTTACTTGACTCTGGCTTAGCTTGCTTGCCCACACTTTCTCTTTCTTTTAAAAATCATTTATTGGCCGGGCACGGTGGCTCACGCCTGCAATCCTCGCACTTTGGGAAGCCGAGGTGGGTGGATCACGAGGTCAGGAGTTCAAGACCAGCCTGGCCAAGATGGTGAAACCGTGTCTCTACTAAAAATACAAAAATTAGTCAGGCGTGGTGGTGGGCGCCTGCGATCCCAGCTACTCGGGAGGCTGAGGCAGGAGAATCGCTTGAACCCGGGAGGCGGAGGTTTCAGTTGAGTCAAGATTGCGCCACTGCACTCCAGCCTGGGCAACAGAGCAAGACTCTGTCTCAAAAACAAAAAACAATAAACAAAACACAACAACAAAAATCATTTCTTTTTTTTTCTTTTTTATAGAGACAGGATCTGTCTCTGTCACCTAGGCTGGAGTGCAGTGGTGTGATCATAGCTCACTGCAACCCCAAACACCTAGGCTCAAGCGATCCTCCTATCTCACCCTCCTCAGTAGCTGGGACTACAGGTGTGCATCACCATGCCCAGCTAATTTAAAAAAAAAATTTTTTTATTATAATACTTTAAGTTCTGGGATACAAGTGCGGAACATGCAGGTTTGTTACATAGGTATACACATGCCATGGTGGTTTGCTGCACCCATCAACCCGTCATCTACATTAGGTTTTTCTCCTAATGCTATCCCTCCCCTAGTCTCCCACCTCCCAACAGGCTCCGGTGTGTGCTCTTCCCCTCCCTGTGTCCATGCATTCTCATTGTTCAACTCCCATTTATGAGTGAGAACATGTGGTATTTGGTTTTCTGTTCCTGTGTTATTTTGCTGAGAATGATGGTTTCCAGCTTCATCTATGTCCCTGCAAAGAACATGAACTCATCCTTTTTTATGGGTGCATAGTATTCCATGGTATATATGTGCCACATTTTCTTAATCCAGTCTATCATTGATGGGCATTTGGGTTGGTTCCTAGTCTTTGCTCTTGTGAATAGTGCTGCAATAAATATACGTGTGCATGTGTCTTTATAGTAGAATGATTTACATTCCTTTGGGTATATACCCAGTAATGGGATTGCTGAGTCAAATGGTATTTCTGGTTCTAGAACCTTGAGGAATCACCACACTGTCTTCCACAATGGCTGAACTAACTGACACTCCCACCAACAGTGTAAAAGCATTCCTATTTTTCCACATCCTCTCCAGCATCTGTTGTTTCCTGACTTTTTAATTATTGCCGTTCTAACTGGCGTGAGGTGGTATCTCGTTGTGGTTTTGATTTGCATTTCTCTAATGACCAGTGATGTTGAGCTTTTTTTCTTAAGTTTGTTGGCCGCATAAATGTCTTCTTTTAAGAAGTGTCTGTTCATATCCTTTGCCCACTTTTTGATGGGGTTGTTTGCTTTTTCTTGTAAATTTGTTTAAGTTCCTTGTAGATTCTGGATATTAGCCCTTTGTCAGATGGATAGGTTGCAAAAATTTTCTCCTATTCTGTAGGTTGCCTGTTCACTCTGATGATAGTTTCCTTTGGCCCAGCTATTTTTTGTTTTGTTTTGTTTTGTTTTGTTTTGTTTTGTTTTGAGATGAAATCTCACTCTGTTACCCAGGCTGGAGTGCAGTGACATGATCTTGGCTCACTGCAACCTCCACCTCCCGGGTTCAAGCGATTCTCCTGCTTCAGCCTCCTGAGTAGCTGGGATTACAGGTGGGCACCACCACACCTGGCTAATTTTTGTGTTTTTAGTAGAGATGGGGTTTCACCATGTTGGTCAGGCTGGTCTCGATCTCCTGACCTCATGATCCACCCGCCTCAGCCTCCCAAAGTGTTGGGATTACAGACATGAGCCACCACACCCGGCCAGCCCAGCTAACTTTTAATTTTTTAAATTTTTATAGAGATGGAGTCTCACCATCTTGCCCAGGCTAGTCTCAAACTCCTGGGCTGAAGTGATTCTTCTGCCTCAGCCTCCCAAAGTGTTGGGATTATAGGTGGTAGCCACTGCACCTGGCCTTTAAGTCATTTTTATTGATGTATGATTTACCTGTAGTATAATACTATGCACTCAGTTAAAGTATACATATAGTTCAGTGAATCTTCGCAAATATAACTATCCACGTAATTATCACCAAGATAAATGACATTTTCATCACCCGCAAAATGCCCCCAGTCATTCCTACTTTCTGCCACTATAGATAAGTTTCGTCTTTTCTAGGATTTCACCTAAGTGGAATCATACAGTATATTGTGCTTTGTTTGGCTTTTTTTTTTTTTTTTTTTTTTTTACTCAGCATAATTGTATTGAGATTCATCCATGTTCTTGTGTGTAGCATGCTTCATTGCTTTTTATTATTGGGTAGTACTCTATTGAATGGCTTTACCACAGCTTATTCACCCATTCACTTGTTGATGGATGTTTAGATTGTCTCCCATTTGGGGCTATTATGAATAAAGCTGCATGAACATTAGTGGACAAGTCTTTGGGAGGACATGTATTTTCATTTCTTTTGGTTAAATATCTAGAATTACTGGGTCATACTGGTAAGTGTATGTTCAACTTGACTTTGAGTAGTTGTGCCATTTTACATTCCCACCAGCAGCATATAAGAATTTCAGCTGCACCATGTCCTGCCAGTGCTTGGTGGTGTCAGTCTTTTCACAGTTAGCCATTCTAATAGGTATGCATTCTAATAGGTATGTAGTGAAATCAATCTCTATGTGATTTTAATTACATTTCTCTGGGGACTCATGATGTGAGGATCTTTCATGTTCTTATTGGCCATTCCTGTATCCATATATAGTCTTTTATGATGTTTCTATGTGAAATTTTTCTCCATTTTTTTTAAATGATGGGAGGCTTCCTGGCTTTTACTCACACTTTTTTTTCTTTTTCTTTTTTTTCTTTCTTTTTTGGAGTTATAGGTTCTCCCTCTGTTGCCCAGGCTGGAGAGCAGTGGCACAATCATGGCTCACTGCAGTCTCGACCTCCTGGACTCAAGAGATCCTCCCACCTCAGCCTCCTGAGTAGTTGGAACTACAGGCACATGCCACCACACCTAACTAATTTTGTATTTTTTGTAGAGACAAGTCTCACTATGTTGCCCAGGCTGGTCTCAGACTCCCTGGGCTCAAACAATCCTTCAGCCTCAACCTCCCTAGCAGCTGGGATTGTAGGCACACAGTATGGCATCCAGCTACTCTCCACCTTTTATTTCTTTTCTTTTCTTTTTTTTTTTTTGACATAAGTACAGTGGTGACTGAAAATGCTGACTTCTAAAAAAGGCCTTATCTTGACATTCCACACAAAGGCACATGGCCTGCATAATTCTACTCCCTTGGTTGTGCTTCTTACCCTGTCTTGCTACTACTGAAGATGTTTTCAAGTAAATTTGAAGGGCTCTATTTGTCCCTTTCATCACTGGCATGGGATTCTGTGTAAGGTAATTTGGCATCTTCTGTACTATTTCTTTTAATATTTCCTACCTATAGACAGTTAAAAGGCAGTATAGGTTTCGGAGTCAAACAGACCCAGATGGTTCAAATATTAAGCTGAACTCCAGTTATTTAATTCCCTGACAGTTTTTTTAAAAAATCTCATCTCTAAAACAGGGTATGATAATAACTGTGAAAATTAGAGGAAAGAAACGTGCTTGGCACACTGCCTGACATATGGGGGCTCAGCCAAAAATGGTAGCTGTTATTATTGTAAACTTCACCTTCTAGAGTTCATTTAAATAACGTTTTGCCTAAATACTACAGATTTGTAAACAGCATTTTGCCTTTCTAGTGCTCTCTACACTAATTATTGCAGCTTCCAATGCCAGTGAACTAAAGTCACTGATTTTAATGCCCCCACAATTAGTACCATGTAAGCTTTGAGTCACCGAAGTTAAGATACTGACTAGGATCTGAGGTTCCAAGATGGCCAAATAGGAACAGCTCCAGTCTACAGCTCCCAGCGTGAGCTACGCAGAAGACAGGTGATTTCTGCATTTCCAACTGAGGTACCAGGTTCATCTCACTGGGTCTTGTTGGACAGTGGGTGCAGGACAGTCGGTGCAGCCCACGGAGCATGACCCGAAGCAGGGTGAGACATCACCTCACCTGGGAAGTGCAAGGGGTTGGGGAATTCCTTTTCCTAGCCAAGGGAAGCCGTGACAGACGGCACCTGGAAAATCGGGTCACTCCCACCCTAATACTGAGCTTTTCCAAAGGTCTTAGCAAACGGCACACCAGGAGATTATATCCCACACATGGCTCAGAGGGTCCTACACCCATGGAGCCTCGCTCATTGCTAGCACAACAGTCTGAGATTGAACTGCAAGGCAGCAGTGAGGCTGGGGGAGGGGCGCCCCTCATTGCTGAGGCTTGAGTAGGTAAACAAAGTGGCCCAGAAGCTCGAACTGGGTGAAGCCCACTGCAGCTCAAGGAGGCCTGCCTGCCTCTGTAGACTCCACCTCTGGGGGCAGGGCACAGCTGAACAAAAGACAAAAGAAACTTCTGCAGACTTAAACATCCCTGTCTGACAGCTTTGAAGAGAGTAGTGGTTCTCCCAGCATGGAGTTTGAGATCTGAGAATGGACAGACTGCCTCCTCAAGTGGGTCCCTGACCCCCGAGTAGCCTAACTGGGAGGCACCTCCCAGTAGGGGCTGACTGACACCTCATATGGCCAGGTGCCCATCTGAGACGAAGCTTCCAGAGGAATGATCAGGCAGCAACATTTGCCGTTCTGCAATATTTGCTGTTCTGCAGGCTCCATTGGTGATACCCAGGCAAACAGGGTCTGGAGTGGACCTCCAGCAAACTCCAATGGACCTGCAGCTGAGGGTCCTGACTGTTAGAAGGAAAATTACCAAACAGAAAAGACATCAACACCAAAACCCCATCTGTACGTCACCATCATCAAAGACCAAAGGTAGATAAAACCACAAAGATGGAGAGAAACCAGAGCAGAAAAGCTGAAAATTCTAAAAATCAGAGCACCCTTTCTCCTCCAAAGGAATGCAGCTCCCCACCAGCAACGGAATAAAGCTGGACAGAGAATGACTTTGACGAGTTGAGAGAAGAAGGCTTCAGACAATCGGTAATAATAAACTTCTCCGAGCTAAAGAAGGATGTTCAAACCCATTGCAAAGAAGCTAAAAACCTTGAAAAAAGGTTAGATGAATGGCTAACTAGAATAAACAGCATAGAGAAGACCTTAAATGACCTGATGGAGCTGAAAACCATGGCACGAGAACTACGTGACGCATGCACAAGCTTCAGTAGCCAATTCGATCAAGTGGAAGAAAGAGTATCAGTGATTGAAGATCAAATGAATGAAATGAAGTGAGAACAGAAGTTTAGAGAAAAAAGAGTAAAAAGAAACGAACAAAGCCTCCAAGAAATATGGGACTATGTGAAAAGACAAAATCTACGTCTGATTGGTGTACCTGAAAGTGACGGGGAGTGGAACCAAGTTGGAAAACACTCTTCAGGATATTATTCAGGAGAACTTCCCCAACCTAGCAAGGCAGGCCAACATTCAAATTCAGGAAATACAGAGAATGCCACAAAGATACTCCTCAAGAAAAGCATCTCCAAGACACATAATTGTCAGATTCAAGTTGAAATGAGGGAAAAAATGTTGAGGGCAGCCAGAGAGAAAGGTTGGGTTACCCACAAAGGGAAGCTCATCAGGCTAACAGCTGATCTCGCGGCAGAAACTCTACAAGCCAAAAGAGAGTGGGGGCCAATATTCAACATTTTTAAAGAAAAGAATTTTCAACCCAGAATTTCATATCCAGCCAAACTAAGGTTCCTAAGTGAAGGAGAAATAAAATCCTTTACAGACAAGCAAATGCTGAGAGCTTTTGTCAACATCAGGCCTGCCTTACAAGAGCTCCTGAAGGAAGCACTAAACATGGAAAGGAAAAACCGGTACCAGCCACTGCAAAAACATGCCAAATTGTAAAGACCATCAAAGCTAGGAAGAAACTGCATCAACTAACGAGCAAAATAACCAGCTAACATCATAATGACAGGATCAAATTCACACATAACAATATGAACCTTAAATGTAAATGGGCTAAATGCTCCAATTAAAAGACACAGACTGGCAAATTGGATGAGTCAAGACCCATCAGTGTGCTGTATTCAGAAGACCCATCTCACATGCAGAGACACACATAGGCTTAAAATAAAGGGCTGGAGGAAGATCTACCAAGCAAATGGGAAACAAAAAAAAAGCAGTGGTTGCAATCCTAGTCTCTGATAAAACAGACTTTAAACCAACAAAGATCAGAAGAGACAAAGAAGGCCGTTACATAATGGTAAAGGGATCAATTTAACAAGAAGAGCTAACTATCCTAAATATATACACACCCAATACAGGAGCACCCAGATTCGTAAAGCAAATCCTTAGAGACCTACAAAGAGACTTAGACTCCCACACAATAATAATGGGAGACTTTAACACCCCCCTGTCAACATTAGACAGATCAACGAGACAGAAAGTTAACAAGGATATCCAGGACTTGAACTCAGCTCTGCACCAAGCAGACCTAATAGACATCTACAGAACTCTCCACCCCAAATCAACAGAATATACATTCTTCTCAGCACCACATCGCTCTTATTCCAAAATTGACCACATAGTTGGAAGTAAAGCTCTACTCAGCAAATGTAAAAGAACAGAGATTATAACAAACTATCTCTCAGACCACAGTGCAATCAAACTAGAACTCAGGATTAAGAAACTCACTCAAAACTGCTCAACTACATGGAAACAGAACAACCTGCTCCTGAATGACTACTGGGTACATAATGAAATGAAGGCAGAAATAAAGATGTTCTTTGAAACCAATGAGAACAAAGACACAATATATCAGAATCTCTGGGACCCATTTAAAGCAGTGTGTAGAGGGAAATTTGTAGCACGAAATGCCCACAAGAGAAGGCAGGAAAGCTCTAAAATTGACACCCTAACATCACAATTAAAAGAACTAGAGAAGCAAGAGCAAACGCATTCAAAAGCTAGCAGAAGGCAAGAAATAACTAAGATCAGAGCAGAACTGAAGGAGATAGAGACACAAAAAAACCCTTCAAAAAATCAATGAATCCAGGAGCTGGTTTTTTGAAAAGTTCAACAAAATTGATAGACCACTAGCAAGACTAATAAAGAAAAAAAGAGAGAAGAATCAAATAGATGTAATAAAAAATGATAAAGGGGATATCACCACCAATCCCACAGAAATACAAACTACCATCAGAGAATACTATAAATACCTCTAAACAAATAAACTAGAAAATCTAGAAGAAATGGATAAATTCCTGGACACATACCCCCTCCCAAGACTAAACCAGGAAGAAGTTGAATCCCTGAATAGACCAATAACAGGCTCTGAAATTGAGGCAATAATTAATAGCCTACCAACCAAAAAAAGTCCAGGACCAGACGGATTCACAGCCAAATTCTACCAGAGGTACGAAGAGGAGCTGGTACCATTCCTTCTGTAACTATTCCAATCAATAGAAAAACAGGGAGTCCTCTGTAACTTATTTTATGAGGCCAGCATCATCCTGATACCAAAGCCTGGAAAAGACACAACAAAAAAAGAGAATTTTAGACCAATATCCCTGATGAACATCGATGCAAAAATCCTCAGTAAAATACTGGCAAACCAAATCCAGCAGCACATCAAAAAGCTTATCCACCAGGATCAGGTGGGCTTCATCCCTGGGATGCAAGGCTGGTTCAACGTATGCAAATCAATAAACTAATCCATCATATAAACAGAACCAAAGGCAAAAACCACATGATTATCTCAATAGATGCAGAAAAGGCCTTTGACAAAATTCAACAGCCCTTCATGCTAAAAACTCTCAATAAATTAGGTATTAATGGGACGTATCTCAAAATAATAAGAGCTATCTGTGACAAACCCACAGCCAATATCATACTGAATGGGCAAAAACTAGAAGTATTCCCTTTGAAAACTGGCACAAGACAGGGATGCCCTCTCACCACTCCTATTCAACATAGTGTTGGAAGTTCTGGACAGGGCAATCAGGCAGGAGAAAGAAACAAAGGGTATTCGATTAGGAAAAGAGGAAGTCAAATTCTCCCTGTGGGCAGATGATATGATTGTATATTTAGAAAACCCCATCGTCTCAGCCCAAAATCTCCTTAAGCTGATAAGCAACTTCAGCAAAGTCTCAGGATACAAAATCAATGTGCAAAAATCACAAGCATTCCTATACACCAATAACAGACAAACAGAGAGCCAAATCATGAGTGAACTCCCATTCACAATTGCTTCAAAGAGAATAAAATACCTAGGAACCCAACTTACAAGGGATGTGAAGGACCTCTTCAAGAACTACAAACCACTACTCAATGAAATAAAAGAGGACACAAACAAATGGAAGAACATTCATTGCTCTTGGATAGGAAGAATCAATTTCGTGAAAATGGCCATACTGCCCAAGGTAATTTATAGATTCAATGCTATCCCCATCAAGCTACTAATGACTTGCTTCACAGAATTGGAAAAAACTACTTTAAAGTTCATATGGAACCAAAAAAGCCCATATTGCCAAGACAATCCTAAGCGAAAAGAACAAAGCTGGAGGCATCACGCTACCTGACTTCAAACTATACTACATGGCTACAGTAACCAAAACAGCATGGTACTGGTACCAAAAGAGAGATATAGACCAATGGAAGAGAACAGAGTCCTCAGAAATAATACCACACATCTACAACCATCTGATCTTTGACAAACCTGACAAAAACAAGAAATGGGGAAAGGATTCCCTGTTTAATAAATGGTGCTGCGAAAACTGGGTAGCCATATGTAGAAAGCTGAAACTGGATCCCTTCCTTACACCTTATAAAAACATTAATTCGAGATGGATTAAAGACTTAAATGTTAGACCTAAAACCATAAAAACCCTAGAAGAAAACCTAGGCAATACCATTCAGGACATAGGCATGGGCAAGGACTTCATGTCTAAAACACCAAAAGCAATGGTAACAAAAGCCAACATTGACAAATGGGATCTAATTAAACTAAAGAACTTCTGCACAGCAAAAGAAACTACCATCAGAGTGAACAGGCAGCCTACAGAATGGGAGAAAATTTTTGCAATCTACCCATCTGACAAAGGGCTAATATCCAGATTCTACAAAGAAGTTAAACAAATTTACAAGAAAAAATCAAACAACCCCATCAAAATGTGGGCAGAGGATATGAACAGACACGTCTCAAAAGAAGACATTCATGCAGCCAACAGACACATGAAAAAATGCTTGTCATCACTGGCCATCAGAGAAATGCAAATCAAAACCACAATGAGATACCATCTCACACCAGTTAGAATGGCGATCATTAAAAAGTCAGGAAACAACAGGTGCTGGAGAGGATGTGGAAAAATAGGAATGCTTTTACACTGTTGGTGGGAGTGTCAGTTCAGCCATTGTGGAAGACAGTGTGGCAATTCCTCAAGGATATAGAACTAGAAGTACCATTTTACCCAACCATCCCATTACTGGGTATATACCCAAAGGACTGTAAATCATGCTGCTATAAAGACACATGCACACCTATGTTTATTGTGGCACTATTCACAATAGCAAAGACTTGAAACCAACCCAAATGTCCATCAACAATAGACTGGATTAAGAAAATGTGGCACATATACACCATGGAATACTATGCAGCCATAAAAGAGGATGAGTTTGTGTCCTTTGTAGGGACATGGTTGAAGCTGGAAACCATCATTCTGAGCAAACTATCGCAAGGACGGAAAACCAAACACCACATGTTCTCACTCATAGGTGGGAATTGAACAATGAGAACACTTGGACACAGGATGGGAAACATCACACATTGAGGCCTGTTTTGGAGTGGGGGGAGGGGAGAGGGATAGCATTAGGAGATATACCTAATGTAAATGATGAGTTAGTTGGTGCAGCACACCAACATGGCACATGTATACATATGTAACAAACCTGCACGTTGTGCACATGTACCCTACAACTTAAAGTATAATTTAAAAAAAAAAGATACTGACTAAATCACTAGGCCCTACCTACGAGGGTAGGAAGCTTTCTTTTTTTCTTCCTTTTTGAGATGAGATTCACATAACACAATTTAACCATTCAAAAGTGTACAAATCAGTGGTATTTAGGGCATTGGAAATGTTGTACAACCATCATCTCTATCTAGTTCCAAAACATTTTCACCACCCTAAAAGAAAACCACATACCCATTAAACAGTCAGTACCCATTTTCGTCACCCCCTACCACATGGCAACCACCAATTAATATCCTTCCTGTCTCTATAGATGTACCTAGTCTAGATATTCATATAAATGGAATCATATCATGGGTAGCCTTTTGTGTCTGGCTCCTTTCACTCAAGTTGGAGTTTTCGAGGTTCATTTACACTGCAGCATGTAGCAGTACTTCATTCTTTTCATGACGGAATAATATTCCATCATCTGGCTATTCCCCATTTTGTTCATGCATTCATCTGTTGATGCACATTTGGGCTGTTTCCACTGTTCAGCTATTGTGAATAGTGCTGCTGTGAACATTCGTGTGCATGTGTTTCTTTGAATCCCTGTTGTCAATTCTTTTGGATATATACCTAAAAGTGAAATTGCTGTACTATATGCTAATTCTGTGTTTAACTTTTGGTGGAATCTTTTGGCTTTTTTAGCTGAGGGGTGGGGTAGAATCAAAGAAATGGGCCAGAGAATTCATGTGAGCCAGGCAGCCTATGGAATTTGTGTGTACCCTTCTCAGCTGACCGTTTATCTTGTCTTTAACCTCTTCTGCCAGCACAGAAGAGTGAGTGCTGTGGGTCCCTTACACCTCTGGCCTCTCTCTCCTAGGGCTGTGCCTGGCTGCTCCTGAGAAAACTGGAAGATGGTGTGCCATGTCAGATCACGAGGCCACGAAGTGCACCAGTTTCCGAGACAATATGAAAAAAGTGTTTCCAGCAGATGGTCCCCTTGTCACCTGCGTGGAGAGAGCGTCTTCCCTTGAGTACATTAAAGCCATCACAGTTAAGTCACTGCTGCCTAAAACACAGTGGAAGAAAGCCTATACTTTCGTTTTGTTTTTCTGCACTTGCTGTTGTTTATTGCTTTCTCCCCACAGGAACCAGACCATGCTTTAGAGGAGAAAGAAACAAGCCAAAGATCTGAAAATGCAAGGACTGTGGGTAGAGAAAAATGTAGCTGCTCAACATTCATTGATAGCAAAAATCATAATCCTAATCATAATTAAACAACTAATAGAGAAGGATTCAATCTCAGTAAAATACCTATGTCAAGCAAAGCTAGCATTACATTGAAAGAGAATCTATAAAGACTCAGAAATAAACAAGAATCTCTAGTGTCAGTATTATTACTAAATGTTTTTGGAAGTTATGGTAGTGCAATAAGATAGAAAACGCATATAAGATAGAAGAAACAAACAAAAACACCAATATTTTCAGATGGTGGAATGCCTAGAAAATACAGTAGAATCAAGAGAAATGTTGCTATAATTATTTATTAATGAATACATTAGTTTGGCAAAAGATAAATGTATCACAAAGTCATTTTCATATACCAACAATTGTTAATTGTGAAAAAAATCCCAAAATTGTTATCTCATTTACATTTAAAATAATAAAAAGAAAATTATTTCTGGAAAAATATTATATGAGAGATCTGCAAGGCTTTTACTAGTATAATATAGGCTGGGTGTGGTGGCTCACACCTGTAATCGCAGCACTTTGGGAGGCCAAGACGGGTGGATCACTTGAGGTCAGGCGCTCAAGACCAGCCTGTCCAACATGGTGACACCCCATCTCTAGCCATTTAGAAAAATACAAAAATTAGCCGGGCATGGTGGCACACACCTGTAGTCCCAGCTACTTGGGAGTCTGAGGCAGGAGAACCCAGGAGGCAGAGGTTGCAGTGAGCCAAGATTGTGCCACTACACTCCAGCCTGGGCAACGGAGCGAGACTCTGCGTCAAAATAAATAAATAAATAAAATAACAAATAAATAAATAAAATATAGAAGTCTGTAACAAGTGAATAATATTTATTAACAAATGAAAACATATGCTGTATTTCCAGATGGAAAGACTAAATATCACATACTTGCATACCCTCCCAAAGTTAACTCATAAATTTAGTAAAAGTTTAATCAAAATACAGCCTTTTTAAAAGAATCAATAAAATATTTATAAAATTCTTGAGAAAAAGTACATGCATGAAATTTTAAAGTTGTATTATGAAAAAGAAAAGTAGCAGGGGAGTGGCTGAGTCCTACCTAAAACTATACCATATTTAAATAACAGTGATACACAGGACAGGATACTGGCACATATATAGAAGACCCAGAAGAGAACAAAATTCAGATACATTGTCAGCTTTCTGTATATCCATTCAACTACCTAATTATCTACGTGATATGATATAGATGCAAACTGTGATAGACATTAGGGCACGAGGGTCCTAGGCTTAATAAATTTAGGTAAGATACAAGTAGATTTGTTCTTTAAATCAAATTAAATTGAATTTTTATTTGACAAATAATAATTGTACATATTTATGGGGTAAATGTAGTGTTTTGATACATGTATACTAGATTTAGATAAGTATAATAAGGCAAACTTGCCAAACAAATGGCTGAGAAAGGAGTCTTTAGTTGGACAACTAGGTAGCCATTCAGAAAAATAATCAAGTGAGCTTCTTAATCCATTCACCAAAATAAATTCCCAGCTTGACTCAACTTGATTAAAAGACATAGACATAACTAGATAAATTACAAAAGTAGACAAATTTGGAAATGTAAAAAATTTTAAACCATGACAAAGAAATGTTTTTAAAAAGCCCTAAGCATGCCAAAAAAAAATCACATCAGCTATAACAAAACCACAAACTATATAAAGTTGTCATTTAAACTTATAAGAAATGCTGAAGAATAAAAAAACTATAAACAAGCCATTTGCAGAAAAGACATTACAACTAAGAATATTAACAATAAAGGAAAAATGTTCATCCCTTTTAATAAACAAAGAAATTCAAATAAAACCATTCTAAAAATAACAGTTTATATTTAGTAATGTAATGACATTTCTAAAGTGATAACACTTCTCACTGGTAGGTTTGCAGTGAAATTGGTACGCATTGCTATTGGCATTATAAATCATACATTTCTATATCATTTCTGGAAACCAACTTAGAAATATTCAGTAAGGGTCATAAAGATGTGCATAAATTTTCATCTATTTTTGTAATGTGTGTATGTGTATGTGTGTTTATGGGAAGAGAGAGGGAGAGATATGTTAGAGGAGTTTGACCTTATACAGTTGTGGGTGCTAGTTAAGCAGTCTCTATAAGACTGTTGTCTTTTTGCATCTGTTATTGGGGTTTGCAGAGGAGTCAGTCAGGAAAGAAAGATGTATGTAAAGTGGGAAAAGGCAAGAACTACCTGGAGGCCATAATCATGAGCTGGAGCCCACGGGACGGACTGAAACCCATGTCAATTCTCGCTGCTTCTCATCTTGATGGTGTTCACAAGGCCCAGCGGCCTTCTTGCCCTTTTACCTGTATACTAAATCTCTCCTTTTCTTAAGGTTATTTATGTCAGTTTCTGATGCATGCATTTAATTAGAGTCCTAACTTTATACACACACACATAGATACAAATATACATACATATATATGAATATATATTGTAAAATATTTATAAGAAAAAGTGGGATGGAGGAAAAGGGAGGCATACAGAAACATAATAGTAAATTCAGAAAATCTCAAGTTGCTTTAAATGTCAGTCAATAAATGAATAAAAAGAATGATTTCCATGATGGGTAGGGAAATGATCCAACCTCATTGTGGAGAAGAGGCTGTGAAGTTGCTTGCTTCTTGAAGGAAGGAACTTTTGGCTGACAGATCCCTGCCAAGGGAATCCACATTTGAGAGTGCCAAACCTGACTTCTTATGGATGGAAATATTCTACAATGCATTCACTTACGTACCCAAGAAATGTTTATTGAACACCTACCTGTGCTAGGTGCTCCTCTAGGTGCTGGGATTGAGTAGGGAATAGAACAGACAAACATGCCTCCACCTTCATGGAGCTTACATTCCAAAGGGGAGGACAAACAATAAACAGAGTTTGTCACGTGGTTGATAAGGCTCAGAAGGAAAACAAAGTGGCATCCAGCATACACGAGATGGTAGTTTGAAGACTGTGGTCAGGGAATGCCTCACTGAGGAGATGACATTTGAGCAGTGATGTAATGGAGGTGAAGGAGGCTTGAGTCATGCAAGTGTCTATTGAGCAAGTGTCTCTGGCAGAGGGTTAGAGGAGTCTTTCTCAGAAGTGATGGGCATCATGCATGGTTTGATCCCTTCTCTTTCAGGCAAATGAAGCAGATGCTGTGACCATTGATGGAGGTTTAGTGTTTGAGGCAGGCCTGGCCCCCTACAGCCTTAAGCCCATCGTGGTAGAAATCTATGGGTCAAAAGATGGTGTGTTCTCCCTGGGGACTGGTGTCTCTGGTCTGACACTGCAGCAATGATGGGTGTGGGTGGCAGGGGCCCTGTCAGCATTACACTTAGTAGGGAACAAAGTTGCTGGAGCTCTTTGCATTGAAGGAGGCTGTCTCTGATGCTAACTCCTGAGGGCTGGGAAAGTGGCTCTTCCTGGGCGACTGCAAACTTTGCACATTTTGATAGAAACTCCGCTGGTGCTGCTGGCTGTAGGGTATCTCCAGCCTGAGAGGGGAGTGCTATCCAGAGTCCATTGCTCACCCAGTGGGGTCTCACCCATGGGAGGCCCCTCTCTGGAGACACACAGGACCTGACTGCGTCTTCCTTGTGCTAACCCTGCCTGGGCAACAGAACATGGGCCTGGATTTATGGTGAGGAGAGGTTTGGGGGAGTCTAAGAATGAGGCTTTACCTCTTTCCCATACTTGTCCATTAGTGTCATCGTGTCATCAGTGTGTGTGAGCACAGCTGGCCTCAGTCTGACTCTTGCAGGGCCCTGGCATATTCCTGGGACTCCTCTCACACCTTTACTTCGTGTTTGAGCTGCAGGGAGAACTGCTGTTGGGGAAAGGGGGAAAAGGAGAAAAGCCCTCAGGAAGAAGCAGTGACATCACGATGGCTGGGTGCTGAAGCGCTCCCTAAGTGCGCTCCACTCAGTAGGCCCTAATAGCTGGTGCCCTTGAGGATCCTGTCTCCACTGGCTTGGAGGGACTAGCAGAAAAAAGAACTAGTGTTTATTGCCTTGAAAAGGGATGGTGTTCTCTCTCCTGTCAATTAAGGGCTTTTTTTTTCTTTTTCTACCCACTTGCAGGGGGGTGGTGAGGTCCTAGCATCCCCAGAGTTCTGCATGGTACGTGCTCCAGAAGATCAGTGACAATATGGCATCTTCCTTTGGCCCTTATTCCTCTCGGCTCCTTTGCAGATCCACAAACCCACCATTATGTCATTGCCATGGTGAAGAGAGCACCAACTTCCAGCTGAGCCAGCTCCAAGGCAAGAAGTCCTGCCACATGGGCCTGGGCTGGTCTGCTGGATAGAACATCCCCATCAGGACACTGCTTCCCCCTAGCTCCCTTGAAACCGATGAGCCAGCTGGGGCTGGGTGTGCCCAGGCAGGGCTCCTGCACTGGTCACCCGCATGGGCTGTGCTGGAGTCACACTGTCATTGTGAAGTGTATGTGTCCACGGCCTCCAAGATGGAGTGAGGGTAACCTGCTTTAAATATGCACTGGCTGGGTGTGTGCACCAGCAACTCCTGGGAGCTGGCAGCTGAGTCTTCTCTGAGGAAAGGTGTCAGTCCCACCTTCCTCCTTATCCCTAGTCGCTTGGCTTGACAAGGGCCATCACTGAGGCCCTCTAAGAAAAGCCACCTCCCTCCCAGCTTCCCAGAAAGGCTCATTGGGGATTCTAGACACACTATTGGCACCCAGGCCTACATGCCTTAGGTGAGGGCTTGGGACATGGGCAAGGAAAGGGTGACTGGGCTGGCACTAGGATTTTTTGTGTTCTCCAGGCTCCCTGTTCAGTTATGTTGAGGCACAGTAAGGCTAGGGTGATTTTTCAGCCCTTGAATAATGATGGCCAGATCTTTTTGAACTCTGCAAAAGTACATCTTTTTGAGTCCGGCCAACCTCTGCAGTGTTGATGTCTGACTGTGACAGGGACAAGTGACTGCAGGGACCTGAGAAGGGCTACAGCCTGGATCGCAGCTCTGGCCATGCTTTGCCCTTTCTGGGAGTGATCACTTGCCTCAGTGTCAGGTGCTACTGGACACCCATCTGGGCAGCTGTGCAGTGGCTGGTAGCCCACCTCCTACCCCCTCCTCGACAAGCTGTCCCAACTTTTCCAGAAGGCATATCCCATGAACTACCACAGCCTCTGGATACACAAGGGGAGGTTGAGGGGAAGGTGTTTCCTGAGGTAAAGAAGGACTATTTGGGTTTGGCTGATGTGCAAGTGTTCCTGCTGTGTTTAGAGTTCAGCCTGGCCCCTTCCAGCCTCCGTGTGGGTGAATTAGCAGAGCTGCGTGCCACTGGGACTGAAGTCTTAGTTCAGTGTAGGTCAGTGGCTCTCACACCCTGCAGCGGACAAGCTGGGGAACATTCCTGTGGGTTCCATCACCCCATCAGTGTGATGCCTAAACCCGCAGGGACCCTGGGCCACACACTCCCTCCGGCATGGGCATTGCCAGCCACCTCCAGCAGGCTGCACTGGCTGGCCCCTGCACACCCACTTCCTCAGCCAGTCCTGGGAGGTGTGTGCAGATGCATGGGCTCTCAGTGAGGGCCACTCTCTCGCACACATGTACGACCTGGAGGTCCCAGCCAGCTCATGCCCTGGGGTCCATGTCTCTGTGTTGAGCAGCAGCGGCCAAGTTCTTCTCCAGCAGCTGCGTCCCCTGTGAGGACATGAAGAATTTCCCTCGCCTGTGTCAACTGTGTGCAGGGAAAGGGACAGACAAGTGTGCCTGCTCCTCCCAAGAATCGTACTTTGGCTACGCGGGAGCCTTAAGTGAGTGAGACCCCACTGCTCCTCCTCCTCAGCCTGATGTTGGGGAGACAAAGGCACAGAGAGCGAACAGGGCCCACCCCAGGCCACCTAGAGCATCAGTGAGAAATCTGGGGTCCCAGGTGCCTCCCATGGCCAAGCCTTGCTCCTAACCATCCACAGAGCACTCTTCTGTGTGGGAGCCCTGGCCTCCCCAGAGCTTGGGGTTTGCCCATGTTACCCTCCTAGACAAGGGAATGCTAGGGAGACAGACTCATGTCTAGGACTCTGAGATCTACAGACACAGGTCTGGGCTTTTGGCAGGGCCAAAGGTCAGGACCTCCCAGCTCACAACTTTCTGCTGAGCTGCTTCTTGTGCGTACCTCGCCCCATCTCCCTCTCAGCCCCCTTGCAGGCACTTCTGCACACTCCATGCTCCATAAGAGAAATAGCTACTACTCCAAGGCTATCCAAAGTTATTAGTCTCCATGTAAAGGCTTTAAGCCTTTAGTTTTATTTATTTATTTATTTATTTATTTATTTATTTATTATTATTATTATTTTCATTTAAACCTGTTGCTTTTGGCTGCTTTCTAAGAGGAAAATGAGGATCCTTCTTTCCCATCCTGCCTCCTCAGAGTTGTCTGGTTTGGTGACTGCCAGGGCTCCTGGCTGCTTTTGGCCTGGGCTTCGCTGTGGGGTTCAAAGGCCCTTCAGACAAAGCCGTCACCTCTGTGAGGAAAGACTGATACTCAGGAACTCTGGGCAAAGCCCTGTTAGCCAGCAGTCCGGGCTGACCCTCAGAGGGGCTGCATGGGGGAGAAGTGAGGCCTGTGCCTGACTGTGGCTCTCCTGTCATGTGTCTGAAGGATGGTGTGGACCCCACCCTAGCCAGAGGAGCTGGTTCTTTTTTTTTTTTTTTTTTTTTGAGATGGAGTCTCCCTCTGTCACCAGGCTGGAGTGCAGTGGCATGATCTCGGCTTACTGCAACCTCCGCCTCCTGGGTTCAAGCGATTCTCCTGCCTTAGCCTCCCGAGTAGCTGGGACTACAGGCACATGCCACTACACCCAGCTAATTTTTGTATTTTTAGCAGAGAGAGGGTTTCACCATGTTGCCCAGAATGGTCTTGATCTCTTGACCTCGTGATCCACCCACTTTTGTCTCCCAAAGTGCTGGGATTACAGGCGTGAGCCACCATCTCTAGATATAAGTTGCCTTATATCTGATAGAAATTTAATTTGTTATAAGACCCAGAATCTGGAAACTCAAGTTGCCTTATATCTAGAGATGGGTGAAGCTCATTAATGCCACAGGAGAGTTTCTATGTAAGCATTTCTTTTACAGTAATTCCCCCTTATCCACAGTATCACTTTAACACAGTTGGACTTGTGGCCAACCAAGGTGCAAAAATATTACATCACTACTCTTGCACCTTGGGGCCATTACTAAGTAAAATAAGAGTTACTGGAACACAAGCCCTTTGATACCACAGCTGTGGATCTGATCACTGAGAAGGCTACTAAGTAACTAACAGGTAGGTAACGTAGACAGAGTGGATACAGCATTGACAAAGGGAGGATTCACAACCTGGGAGGGACAGAGCAGAACAGTGCGAAATTCTATCACACTATCAGAACAGCAAGCAATGTAACACTTGTGAATTGCTTATTCCTGGCACTTCCCGTTTATGTAGCAGTGCCTTCACAAGAAGGGTGAGTATGGTATAAGAAGATATTTTGAGAGAGAGAGAGGCCATATTCACTTAACTTTTATTACAGCATATTGTTATAATTGTTCAATTTTGGCTGGGCAGAGTGACTCATGCCTGTAATCTCAGCACTTTGGGAGGGTGAGGCAGGAGAATCGCTTAAGCCTCCAACCAGGAGTTGGAGGCTACAGCGAGCTATGATCACGCCACTGCCCTCCAGCCTGGGCGACAGAGCAAGACCCTGTCTCAAAAAAAAAAATGGTTCTTTTTTTATTAATTATTGTTGTTAATCTCTTACTGTGCCTAATTTATAAATCAGACTTTATCATAAGTATGTAGTATAGAAAAAAATACTATATTAGGGTTTGGTACTATCCGTGATTTCCGGCATCCACTGTGGGTCTTAGAACATATCCCCCTTGAATAAGGTGGGACTCTGCTGTATTTGTTCTTTCTTTAGTGCTCAGTTTGATTCATCTATAAATCTACTAAACAAATTTTATGAACATTTAAACAATACTTACCATCTAATAAAACAAGTTGTAATAATCAATTCTCTTAGTCATTGAAATTTCAAATTTAATCACATTCTCCTGAACATTTCATTATAAATGTCTCTCAACTGCTTCAGGCACCTTAAGCAAAACATACAAATTATTGTAAATATTTCAGAACTTATTAGCACATCTGCATTTAAATCTGTTTCAAAAGCATTATTGCCATGGACAAAAGTGTACTTCTTCTTCTTTTTTTTTTTTACATTTATGAAAAAAACCCAAACTTTTTCAGAATTTTGGACAGTTTACCACAAACAAACAAAATATTTCAGACTAATTGAGTTTCCAGATTCTGGGTCTTATAACAAATTAAATTTCTATCAGATACAGAACATTCAAAACATTTGAAATACATGTATATATTCACTGTGCTAAGCTCATTTTTATAATGTCTGCTACTTGAGGAGAATTTTAGATCATCGCTTTTTACATGGGTCCCAGTTCCTTACAACTTAATGTCTTTCCTAACATGAAATTGACTTCAGTGTCCTTTGTTCCCTTGTTCAGTTATTCACAATTCACTGTCTCCTCATTATTACACATTGACTATAATTATTACTCATTATTGCACTGGTTTGTTAGCATTTTGGCAATTGATGCATGTCTTATTATCCACAATTTTAATTAGTGGGGTCACCTATGGGTCTCATCAAATTATTATTATTACACATTGACTACAATTATTACTCATTATTACACTGGTTTGTTAGCATTTTGGCAATTGATGCATGTCTTATTATCCACAATTTTAATTAGTGGGGTCATCTATGGGTCTCATCAAGTTGTTTCAAATAATTATTATGTCCTTTGGATGCTCAGGTTACCACACTTAATGATAGTGGCAGCATCTTCTATCTCCCCCTGAAGTATTTGAAAACATCCTCACTTTATGGAAACGACAGATTGTCCCAGACCATCTTGATTTACCTTTGCCCAAAGTCACTTGTGTGCTATTTTGTAAGATCTCTTCTTGCCTGGTAGGAGAATGTCATGAGACTATGACAATGAGTGGGGGTGGAGAGCCCTGGGCTGCTGCTGCCCCCCTGGGCCTTTGAGTGGCCAAGGTGGAAAAGTGATTTATTTCTGAGGCCATTAGGTCATATTGATTCTCTAAATTTAATTCTAACATTACTAAATCATTTTGAAATTTTTCTTTTAATGTAAAGATTTAAAACGTATTTTCTAGAGAAAATACTAAATTAAAATTGTAACCACTCACAGCAGCCCTGATAACACTCTTTCTCTTTCAGTTTGAGATTTTATCAACCCCAAAGACCATCTGATGCAGGAGAATAGGGATATAGGGTAATCAAGAGTTAAGGCATAAGCAATAGGGCAGCAGGTGTAGTCAGTTAGTTCTAGGCAAGATTAGGCAGCATATAGGCCACATCCTCACTCCTGTGATAACAAGACTGTCTCCACTTCAGCCTCTAATTGGCCATGGGCCAGTCCTTCATAGGGTATAACCAGCTGGAGGCCTCTAAACAGCACCTGGGGTGTTACCAAATTCTTTTTGCTTAATAAAAACCCTAAAGAACACTGTGATCAAGGCTCTTGAGCTGCTCGCTGGAGCCTGCTCCCACTCTGTAGAGTGTACTTTCACTTCAATCAATCTGCACTTTCATTGCTTCTTTCATTGCTTCATTCTGTTGTTGCTTTATTTGTGCATTTTCTTCAATTCTTTGTTCAATGTGCCAAGAACCTGGACAACTCACAGTCAAGACTTTCCATCCAGTAACACATCTGTATTCGTTTTCTAGGACTGCTGTAGCAAAGTACCATGAACTGGGTGGTTTAAGCAACATAAATATCTTGTCTGGTACCTCTGGAGGCTAGAATTCCAAGATCATGATGTTGGCAGGGTTGGGTCCTCCTGAGAGCTGTGAGGAGAATCTGTTCCAGGCCACTGTCCTCGCTTCTGGTGGTTTGCTGCTGATCTTTGGTGTTGCTTGACTCACAGACACATCACTCCAATCTCTGCCTTTATGTTCACATGGCCTGTGTGCATGTCTTCTGTGTCCAAACTCCCCCTTTTCATGAGGACACCAGTCTTTTTGGATTAGGGGTCCACCCTATCCCAGTGTGACCGCATCTTAACTAATTACATTTTCAAGGTCCCTATTTCCAAATAAGGTCACATTCTGAGGTAATGTGGATTAGGACTTCAATATATGAATTTATTGAACCCACAACACTTTTCAATACCTAGACAATGGAATCAAAGAGGCTGTTTTACTCATAGGGTCTTTCTGGTTCATCTTTGTACCTGCAGGTTACCCTGACTGGGCCCCTAGACCTCCTTCCATCTCTCAACCCTCTCACCTTTTCCCAGCAGGCTCTGCATCAAAGGGAATGTGGCCCCTTTAGTGGGGGACCTGGGCCATCTTGGCATGGTAATGCGTCAGCCCCAGACTAGTTACCTTAAGTCTCTGAGTCTCAGTTTCTTCATCTGTAGAATGAGATAATCATATTACTGGCCTCTCCAAGTTGTTGTGAGGATTAAATGCAACAGAGCCTGGAGAGCCTTCAGCAAGTCTTTGATGAGCTATGAGTGCACATTACACATTTGCTGTCACCATTCCTATTAGCAGAGCCAGGCAGTTGGAGGGCCCTGGGCCAGGCACACTGCCCAGCCCTGTGTCTACCTGCAGTGAGATTGTGAACCAGCTGTTTCACTCCTGAGGCCTCTAGTCCTTATCTGTATAAAATGTTTTTGGAAAAAAATTCTCCCTCAGTCCTCTTCAGGCCACATATTTGATGGTTCGGTGAGGGGCATGGGTCATCCTAACTATGGCTCATGGCTCTCCTGCGTTAGGCTCACCTGGGCTTTCCCTCCCCAGAGAACCTGGCAAACAAGGCTGACAAGGACCAGTATGAGCTGCTTTGCCTGAACAACACCCAGAAGCTGGTAGTTGGATACAAGGACTGCCATTTGGCCTGGGTCCTTTCTCATACTGTCATGGCCTGAAGTGTGGGTGGCAAGGAGGACTTGATCTAGAAGCTTCTCAACCAGGTCCAGGTATCCCCACCTGCCATCTTCCCCTCTGGCTTAGTGCTCCCTGCTTGGATTTGGAGGGAGGTTAACTTCCTTGCCTTCTTGTCATTCTGGAAGTCCTGGTATGTTCAGGGTACAGTGGGAGCCATGCCACATGTGATCCTCTTCACTGACAAGCCGCTCAGTCTATATGTGTTATATACAGCAGAGGAATAAAACCTCATCTGGAACCACGAACCTGGTGGACTGAAGACTCTCTGCAGAAGTTCTTCTTGTCCCATTTAATTATTTTTCATTCTAAACAGGTCCTCAGGATGAGTTCACATGACCCTCTTCCTCCACAAAGTCCTCCCCTGTCATCCCATGGCATGTGATCCTGCCCTCCTGACAACTCTGCCAACGCTCTCTCCTTAGCACTGGGGGACTCAGAGATGAACTTGGCAAAGACTTGTCTTGAGTCATTCACAGATGAGTGTGGGAGGCACACGAGTATGGATTCTTACCTGATGGAATTGGACTACCTCATGGACATGGATGGCGTCCTTTATGGAGGACAAAGGGACTGATTTGCAGGATGTATCTGGGAAAGTTCCTGGGCCCTGGGGAGTAACTGTGTGCATCCTAAGGAGGTGGGGGGTGGGGGTTGTCAGGGAGGGCAGCAGGTGGCATTTCATGTAGAGTCACTGCAAAAGCAAACACCAGCCAGCCATTTGAAAGAGCACGTCGGTAGGTGCTGCTGTGAGCTATGTCAGGAGTGGCTTTGGGCCAGTCAACCGGAGTCATAGGCAAAGAGCCCTTTGGTTTTTGGAGGCCAGAAAGGGGAAGGAACCGTTTGGTGTCCCACAGCTGGTCCTTCAGTGGCAGGCTTGGCGTGGGGAGAAGAGGAGCTCAGGAAGTCTGATTGCAGCCCATGGTGCTGGATCACCAGCCTCTTTAGGATGGAGACCGCCACGGGTGCTTAGGGTGATCAGATGGCTTGAGGGTGAGGCAGCCTTTGCTGAACTGCCCCATGGGAACACAGAGCCTCAGCCCACAGTGGAAAGGGATGGATCTGGGGGGTGGCCCCTGGCAATTTCCCCGAGGCCACACCAGGCAGACAAGCTGGGATCTGAGGAGAGCTTTCCCTCACCATGAGCCAGGGATGCTGGGGAGCTTGGCCACCATCTTCACCCTCAGACACTCATATCTTGCTTTCTGTTTCCCTTGTCTGTTTTGGGGTTTGTTTTACCTTTACCTCTATGCCGTCCTTCTTCCTTCACCATCTCTTTTGTCCTTTGAACAGGAACATTTTGGAAAAGACAAGTCGTCAGAATTTCAGCTCTTTGGCTCTCCTCATGAGACAGATCTGCTGTTTACTGATGCTGCCCATGGGTTTTTAATGGTCCCACCTAAGATAGATGCCAAGCTGTACCTGGGATATGAGTATTTTTCCGCGACTCAGGATCCAAAAAGAGGTATGTAAGGTCCCGGGAGGGACCTGGCCAGCTTGGGCAGCAGGGTGGGGTGGGGCCATCATGGGAGGCTTTCCAGGTGCCTGCAAGCTTCACCCAAAGTTTATTGGCCTGCAGAGCCCAAGGGAGCTACTAACTGCATTGGGTTAATGAGGGGGTTTTCTGTGATTAGAAAGTGGCTTTAATGGCCTTCATATTCTAGAAAACTTGAAGACATGATTGCCCTGGCTCCTTTTTATTAGGTGGGGTCATCCCACCCAGGGTGAGTCTATTCGACATGGAGTATAAAAATAGTCCATCTTAAACTGAAGTGGGAATGTGGCCACTACCACCATCCAGAGGTTTCTGGTCTGGCCATCTACTGGATCTCTATGGTTTATTTCTTCCTTCTTTCCTTCTTCTAGCTTTGCCCTCCATTTAGTCAACCAGTAGGTATTTGCATCTACAGAAGGGCAGCCACTGTGTTAGACGTGGGCATATGGTGGTGAGCAAAGACACTGGGTGAGGGGAGAGCAAGCAGGCCCACCCAGAACAGAACTCGTGACTGCCAAGTGGGACATGCTTCCTGGATGGGGAGCCCAGTCTTGCAAGAGAAAACCCCAGAAGACCCTGAGCTGGGCTGGTGCTCAGAGAGGCCTCCCTGGGGAGGTGATGCCTGAGGAGCTGAGGTCAGGAGCAGGGGGAAGCTCTGTCTTCACTGATTGATTTTTCTGAGAAGTGAGTTCCCCATTTCTCCTGGAGGGTGACAGGCAGGAATTAGCAGTGTCATGGGAATGAGACATGTCAGCTCTGCTGCTGCCAGTGAAGGCCTTGTTGGACAGCCACTCTGCAGCGCTAAGCTCCCAGACCTACCTGGGGCTTCCTTTGGATCCCTCCACCCGGCCTAGATGTGGAAGACTCCCCAGGGTGCGGTGGTGCGCAGTGGGCCACCATGAGAGGGCCAAGTGTGATGAGTGGAGTGCTGTGACTGGTGGTGCCTTGGCGTGCACCATGGAGGAGACCCCAGAGGACTGCATCACTGCCATCACAGTTGGAGGGCCCTGCTTTTAAGGCTGGGCTCAGACACTCAGACACACAGCACTTCTGCCAAATCTGGCATTGAAGCTCTCCTTCCCAAATGCCTCTTCCTCAGCCTCCAGGATAAGGACACCTGTTGTGTGCTGCCTCCCACCCACCCCACAGGCCCCTCCAGCTCTGGGCAGGGCAGAAACACAGAGCCAATCCAAGAGCTGGACTCCTGGGGGGCTCAGCTCTGGAGTCCAGTTAGCTCAGGGGAGTGTCTTGCCTAGGAGTCCCAGGAAGTAGGGTGACATTCCGGGCTATGGTCAGGGCTACTGTGAATTGTGAAAGCAGATCAACCTTTTCAATCCTTTAATTGTAAGTTTATTTTTTCTGGTTATAAAATATTACAATAAATAAATAAAAATAGGGCTGCAGTGAGCCATGGTCACACCATTGCACTCTAGCCTGGGTGACAGAGCAAGACCCTGTCTCTAAAAAAATCAGAAAGTAAAAATAAAATCATTCACAACTTCATCACTCAGAGATTATGTGATGATGATCTCTGAGTGACGAAGTTGTGAATGATTTTATTTATTTTATTTATTATGATCTCTGAGCGATGAAATTGTGTTGTTATTAACTTTATGAGCAGAACTATTTTTGTGATTAGGAAAAAATAAACTTATAAATAAAGAATGAAAATTTGACAAACTTAGAAGGCTATGCAACCATTTCATTTTGTTTTGTTTAACTTGAGAAGACCCTCATCTTGGTAAACCTTCCTAGCACCAATTCCTAAGATTAAGATCTTGATGGTTATGTAGTCTACTAAATGTGTCAATTGTAAGGATTAAGTAAATCTCAGTACATATAACATTGCCTGGCATATAGTTAGCAGTAACTAAGTGTTAGCTGTTATTATTATTCAAAATCCCAGGGACAGTTGGTATATTTTCTTAAATAATGAAACACTCATTTAAATAATGGCTATGTAATATTCCACCAAGTATGTTAGCCTCCATTTAACCAGTTTCTCAGTGTTTATATTTGAGTTATTTCCAAATCCTTTGCTATTATAGACAATGTGGGATTGAAAAATCTTTGTATCTATAAATGCCTATATTTCTGAGTATATCTTTAATATTAATGGTAACTAATTTTTCTGGAGTTACTGTGTGACAAGCATGTTTATGAGCTCTTAAACTGTATTACTCATTTAGTCTTCATGATAAACCTATAGGGTATAATTTTTACCCAACTTATGGATGAAAACATGTAAATAGCATAGTATTGAGGGAAACGTGCTTTAGGGTAGACAGATCTTGGAGGCCATCTGGAATAGTGGTTACAAGGAATTAAATTGCCTAGGTTTAAGTCTTAGCCGCTGTTGATTGGACAAATTTAACCTTTCTGCTTTCATTTATAAAAGAGGGGAAATTCTAGTATCTAGCTTATTGAAGTTTGTGAGGAATATATGAGGTAATCACTGTGAAGTGTTTAGAAAGGAGCCTGGCACATAATAAGGCTTGGTAAGTTTTTGCTGCTGTAGTCACTGTTTTTAGATTTCTAGAAGGGTAGTGAAAAGGTCAAAAACAAAGAGCATGTATATGCATGTTTTTATCTTGGTGACCTTATCTATAAGTATACATTTTTTACTCTATTAGAAAAATTAATTGATTAAAATAATAAGTGAATTATTAGTGTATTATCTAGAGAAATGAATTATTTATTGAAAATCTTTGTTGTGCCAGGCACTGAGTACAGTGCTAGTGGGATTATGGGAACAGATTTGAACTCCATTATCTGGAAGAAACATATCCCATAGAAACAGGTTAAATGCATTTCCTGAGTCTGGCCATGTTAATTGCTGGGTTGAGTGACTATAGCCACAAAGAAGGGGTGGTGAGGTCATATCCAGGACGCAGCATGGGTCTCATCAGAGGACACAGAGATGTCCAGGGGGCATGACCTGGGTTGGAACTTGTTCCCAGGTCAACAGGCCAAGAGCATGTCCAGTTTTCTAAACCCTGTGTTTACATGGCAGAAGCTTTGAGTGATCCACAATTGGTTAATCACAAGGATGTTTACATGAAGCCAGTGAAATGAGAACCTCTGAGGGTCAGAGGCCCAGGAGACAGCTATTGTGCTATTGATTTGTTTCTTAACTTCAGAAAGGGGAAGCTGATGCCATGAGCTTGGATGCAGGATTCATCTACATAGCAGGGAAATGTGGTCTGGTGCCTGTCCTGGCAGAGAACTACAGTAAGTGGAGGGGAGTGTCCGTCTCCATTTTTTCTGTCCACAGTTCCCCTGGGCTGTGGGCATAGAAAGATGAGGAAATAACTTAGTTTAGTGTTGAGATAATAACTATTGTTGGAATGTATGGAGCTAGTAGAAAAAAAAAGTCTCCCTCTCCTGGAGCCAGAAACAATTAAGATATAGACAAAGGAATCAGGCAGAAAGAGATCAAAATAACACCTTTACTTCTGAGATTGTGATACTGGAGTGTGTGATGTAGAGCTGGCACGGGGCTGCAAGTCACCCTTACCTTAAAGTTGCCCACTAGTTCAGGAAAATGGGTCTGATGGCTTATGCCAAGACTAAGGGCAAAGGGAAACACATTTTATCATAGGTGAGAAGACCCAAACAACTCTCTCCCCATTGTCTTCAAGAAAGAAAGAGGGGCTGAGCCACATGTGCTCATGATCCTTCACCCAGATGCACTGGGTGGTTGAGAAGGTGGGGCTGCAAGGTCATGTTCTTTAGTGGGGATCCATCCACATGGAAAAATGAAGCTGGTGTAAAAGAGGGTTTCCCTAATATCATTGATTACACCTCATCTGCTACATTATCTTTCAAAACAAAACGACTCTGTGAGGTAAATAGTGGTATCTCCATTTTATAGCTGTAAAAACTGAGGCTTAGAAAAGATAAGTGATGGGTCGGGCGTGGTGGCTCACACCTGTAATCCCAGCACTTTGGGACACTGAGGTGGGTGGATCACGTGAGGTCAGGAGTTCGAGACCAGCCTGGCCAACATGGCGAAACCCTGTCTCTACTAAAAATACAAAAATTAGCAGGGCATGGCAGCAGGTGCCTGTAATCCCAGCTACAGGGAGGCTGAGGCAGGAGAATCGCTTGAACCTGGGAGGCAGAGGTTGCAGTGAGCTGAGATCGTGCCATTGCACTCCAGCCTGGGCAACAACAGCAAAACTCCATCTCAAAAAAAAAAAAAAAGGATAAATGATGTTTCCATTGTAGAATAAAGACTGAATCCAGATCTTTCTGACTCCCTGGACTGGGTTCTTTCCCTCCCGTATAGCAAAAATAATGATTGCCTACCACAGTCTAAGACTCTGAAGGGAAGAAAGATATCAGGATGACTTATTACACAGCTAATGCAAAGGGATATGACCTCTCCCTCTCTTTCCCTTCAATGAGCACCTCCACTTTCTTTGCCTGCATCTGCTAGAGTACTGGGGAGATTTTGGGATGGAACCTATCTTCAAATAGGAAAGAGCA